>NC_000010.11:8646363-8797878 GCF_000001405.40 Homo sapiens
TGAACTCAAGCAATCCACCCACATTGGCCTCCCAAAGTGCTGGGATTACAGGCATGAGGCACCACGCCCAGCCTTTATAGATGCTTCTTAAATAGATGAATGAATCACTGAAGGAGATCTTTAAATGCAGAAGGACTCTTGTAAATTAATATAGGTGACCATTTGTTGAAAGTTACAAAAATCTTCTCTGCAAATTTTCTATCGTCATTATTGAAGGGCATGAAATTAGTTCACAGCATGCATGAAAGAAACTGCTGCTTTGTTTTTAGGATAAGGCATGACCCCCCACCAAAAGTAGGCGGAGAATAATTAGGAGCCATGTGCATGAGTACAGTTTAGTACCACAAATATGTATTAAATGTCAGTTACTGTTTTAGGAGTTACAGATACAAACGTAAAGAAAACAGCCTCTGTTCTAAAAAAATATGTATGTTCTTGTGAAGTAGATTGGTGGCAAAAGAGTGATCTATCTATCTATTTATCTATATATATATATATATATTACTCCTAGCATAATACACGCAAACACACACATACACACACATATATGTTTAGTACAAATATATATATGACTCTAGGTCATATATATACTCTAGGAGTATAAAGAAGAGACACTTAATCTAGCCACGTTAATGGACAGCTGGGAGTGGATGGTGTGTTTGAGATGAGTAAGAGATACATTAATTAGTTAAGGCTTTCTGGATGAAGTGAAAAACTTAAGCAAAGAAACAGTCACATAAGTAGGAAAATGAGATGGTAGAAAGAGATGGAACATGATGTCAGAGAGAAAATGGTGGTATCATGAAGACATTTGTGAAATGTATTTATAGATAAAAGCATGAATTGAATACCTATAGGATGCCATTTGAATTGAATACTTATAGGATGCCATTTGAAAATTTAAGATGGGAATACCCTGACCAGATTTATATTTTCTGCATGTAATGTAACTCTGGTATATAGTTGTGATATGCTTTTACTATAAAGTATAAAATTCTTTATATCTTTTATATTTTACTATAAGATATAAAATTTTCTTATAGTAAAATATAAAAGAATGGGATGCTCACTTAAGTTTGATTTTTTTTTTCTTGTTTTAGAGATAAGGTCTTACTGTCTTGCCCAGGCTGGTCTCAAACTCCTGGTCTCAAGCCATCCTCCTGCTTTGGCCTCCCAAAGTACTGGGATTACAGATGTGAGCCATGGTACTCGTCCAAGTTTGAATGTTAGATAAATAAGGAGTAACGTTTCAGCATGAAACATACCTATACAGTATTAAATATTGTTTGTTATTTATCTGAATTTCAAATTTAACCAGACTTCCTGTATTTTATCTGGCCACACTGTTCCAGGGCAGTGTGAGCGATGGGTTTGGGGAACTCTAGGCAGGAAACATGGAGCCCAATTAGGTGGGCAGAGAGTGGCTTGAATTAGGGCTGGGTAGTGGGAATGTGGGAGGAAACTGAGGCTCAGCTGGATGAATGAATCCGTTCATCCCAAAGGACCCCAGCTAGGCAGAACCAAATTTGATTCTAGGTTTCTTCAACTTAAAAACCCATGCTTTTATCCCCAATGGTTTATTCGTCCATCACCTGGCTTACTCACCCTGTTTTCTCATTTAAATGACAGAGGCCAACTGGTCTAATGATTACCATCATTATTATTATGCAAAACTGCCTCAGTAGATACCAACCCACTTTGAGGATTGGCTGTCCCTACATAAGGTTATCACTTCTGGATCAGTTAATTGTTGACCCCTTGCTCAAGGTCAACCAAGGTTTCCTTTTCTTTGCAAGCACTGCATGCACGGCAGATTCTGTGAGGGGCATGCCAAATCCAGGGAGAAAAATGGCGGAAATTGGAAAGTTACAAGGGTGATATTTTCCTGTGATTTGCTCTTTCCTCCATTGCTAACCCTTGTTGACTTACTAAGATCTTGACATATGTAAGTTTTTAAAATTTTTCCTATCAACCATAGGAGGTAGGTTTTATAATTATTTTTAATTTACAGAGGAGAAATCTGAAACACAGGCAGGTTAGGTAATTTCCCCAAGTAAGCAAGTTCACAAAGCCTCTAGTGAGTGCCTATCTCCAAGACGTATGGGTGTGTGAGGCTGGAAATGAGAAATGTTTAGGATCACTAAAAATTAGCCCAAAACTTAAAAGTAGCTATGGGAACAGATCTCAAAAGTGTAAAGGCAGAGATATAACGGGAAGGTTTTCTTCCTAGCTGGGTGACCTTGAGTAGGTTCTTTAAACACAGGATTTGTGAAATGGGAAAAATCCTCTCTTCACAGCATTTTTAGGAGAAGAGCCTGTTTTTTATAAGCCAAAAACTGTTTTATTAATGTTGCTATAGCATAGTTTTAAGGTGATTTTTTTTAACTCAATAGTAATTTCCTACCTATGAGCCAAGTAACATTATCACAATTTGAAATACCTAGTTCTATTGATTATTAAATTATTACAAGATAATAAAATAATTTGTGATTATTAAGCAATTCAGCAAAAAACACTTTATGATTTAGTATCTGTTAATATCATTCTTAGCTTCAGCTTTTTTTCCCTAATATGCTTTTTATTATACTTTTTAGAAAGTGAGATTTCTTCTAAGGTTCATCTCTTCTGGGCCTTGTCTAAAGTTTTTTAGTTCTTGAATACAAAAATGATGCCATTAAATGAACTCATCACTATGTAAGGCGTCCTGCACAACGCATACTTAGGATAGAATAATTTAAAGCCTCCAGTGTTACGTAGCTTTGATCTTATTCTCCTTGTAATAAGAGATATTAACTAAATCAAGTAACAGATTTAAAAAATAAACAGATTAAGATATATCTACATGAAATTACCAAATGGGTCAAGCTATGTACATTTTGTATGTTGATTAACGGAATGATCCAATTCAATTTGACTACTGAAATAAGTAGGTCATGCATGAGCCAGTAATATAGACAGAAACCCAAAGCTACTTACTGTGAAAGAAACACAAAATCTCTTATCAAATATCTTTACTTCTCCACACCTGTGTTGTTGTGTTTTAAAACTTTAATGACTCAAAGTTTTCTAAATAAATACATGCTTAGTTTTTTTTTAAATTTAACTAATTCAAAATTATTCTGTGAGTTACTAGAACTGTTCAAACACTGCTTCTTGAAAGAAAATCTTTATTGTTTTCTTCTGGTAAGTATACATTTACTTTAAAACAAGATTCTATAGCAAATTAAGAAAGGGAATAGGGGCTTTTATCCATTTCTTTGGAAATGGCCATAGAGACAATGAAATAAAACAAATAAGGCCAAGACAACAGTATTGTTTTATTATTTCTGAGAGTGAGCGTCAGATCTTAGGGCTGAAGGCTGGCAGGGCTGTGTTATTTTAGGCTTGGTTACAAATCTGGGTAATTTAAGAAGACAGTTTGTTTCTAGCTTTCCTGGGCTCTACAGCCCCTGTGCTTTTCCTTCCCTGTACCAATTCAGAGGCCAACTCCAGGTCAAATTTGGAGGACAAATGCTGGTAATATAAATATATGTTGCTGGGCAATGTTAAGAATGGAGTCTGCAGCCTACAGTCTGTCCTGTGACTTTTAGTTCTTTATTTGGGGAGAGAAAGTTGATCGAAGTCTTTAAAAACATTTTAAGCTGGCATGCTTTCAATTTCTCAGCCCAAGTGGCAATTATCTGGAGAAAAGTAGTTGATTACATCTATATGAAACTTTTCATCTGGGTTTGCCAAGGCATTTTTTATTAATACAAATTAATTAACTTCACTAAAGTTAAAGGCAGAGTAGCATTTTTATTATGGCCCATGGAAGGATTAGGCTGTACAACTGGAAAGCTGCATGGTATAATTCAATGTGTGGTTGTAGGGGTCACTAGCAGTAGTGTTTCTGGAGTCCAAAATAGATGTTCCAGTCACCAGCTTGAAGGCTTGAAGACCAGTGCAAGCTTTGGAATTGGTCTTCAAGCCTTCAAATTGGTGACTGGAACACCTATTTTGTAAAGTGAAAGTAAATTTGTAAAATGAAGGTAAATTTGTTTACTTTCATTGCTCTCTCCCTATTACTGTGCCTCAAACCTATGTGTGGAAACCTGCCCTACCTATATATGGAAATGTGGAACCCCATGATAAACCTATGTTGTTCAAATATGGCCTCTATTCTCCATGTTTTCCAAAACTGCTGTAATCTGTGATATGTTCAATGAGTTGTTTCTGAGTATTCTGATGTTTCAATAAATTTGTCAATAGCCATGGCTATGGATGGAACATCTTCATGAAAAATTAAAAAGACTTTTTAGTTAGATTTTAAATGCAGTATGAAAATATTAGTAGCTCACTTACCTTTCCAATTAGGTGTATTTCAAAGTGAGTTTGCATTTCTGAAGAAATGTAAACTGACACAAGGAAAATTGGCATGTTAGGAGACAAGGGTAGGATTAAAAATGTGCTGTTAGTTCATTGGTAAATTATTTAAGCCATTGTGGGGAGGTGGGTGTTGACTCTATTTTTCCTGCTGGGCACATCAGAATATTAAAGGGAGGTAATAATGTATTTCAGCAGGCTCTTGTGTGAGTTGCTATAAATTGCAGAACTTCTGTCACAGATTATTAATTTTTCTTAACTTTAATCTCTGAAAATGAGAAAAAAGTGAGATAGTAATGCTGAATTTTGAGAACAATAAGGGAAACATGATACATAATTTGGGAAAGTAATTTATAAACAGGAAATATATGAAATGCATAAGATGTTTAATAATAATATTCTGCATTCTTCCTGGAAAATTAAATACAATTAATAACACATTCATTTTAAGGAAATACATTTGATGTTTAACTGGTGATATAGTAATTCTTCATAAGTCGTTAGATTATTATGAATCTAAAGAAGGGTATATATACGAGCATCCTATTTCTCTTAGACAGTTTTTGCAAATTCTCATAATTTCAGGGCCTAGCTCTCAATTGCCTTAAGAAGAACATGTATTTGCCAGTTTTCCTTTCAGCCTTTTCCCTACCATCATCTGCAGACAAAGATCTTGTTATTTGATTTGATAATTTATTTAATTGACAGTTTAATGGGTCATGTTTCCTGGTTCCAATTTTAATAACAGTGTTTGTGGTTCATAGCTTTCTTTTTTTAAACTTATCTCTGTCCCTAGTCCAGGCTAGCAATTAGGCAATTTGTTTGTTTATTTACAAATGATCCCCCCGAAAATATCAAATAGTATATGGATGATTTTTTTATCATGTCTGCATATTGACCCTGGATGTGATATGGTTAGGAGACTGTGAGAGAGTAATAGGCTTGGCCCAGAGTGAAAAGATCTGCCTTGGATTCAAGAAGCCTGACTCTGAGACTCGTTGGCTGAGTGATCTCAGAGCAATCATCAAGTCTACAGATCACTTCTTATGTTTGTAAAATGGGGTCGGGCTAGTCCCCCTCCCCCAGAATAGATGCCTAATAAATGAATGTTGAGTGCAGTCTCCTTCTATTTAAAGAAAATTCTCTAATTCTATGATTATTGTTATTACAGACTTACAGAATCGCAGGGCTAGAATGAATTTTTGGCTCCACCAATTCAAACTTGACCAACATTTTCTCCAATTACAAAGTAAAGGGGGAAGAAACAAAGAAAGAAAAAGTAGATACGCAAGTCAGAAAGGCAATTTCTTCTCTCTCTTTTATGTCATAATCAACAAAATATTTCCCTATGATACATTCATCATCGCCCTCAGATTACATATAAATGTCACCCACCATATAGAAAGGACTGGGCTCTCTCTGGTTGACTTTGATACACGTCATATCTGAAACTCTGAGTTTGATTGTCTTATGCACTTTATGTCCACCTTTTAAAATTCTGCACAAAATCCGGCATGAGCAGTAATTTGGTTAGTTGGTGGTTACTTTCTGGTTTTATTGATTTGGAATTGGCCCAAGACCCTCCTGGTTTGTCATACATTTGGTTTTGGAATTAAAACAGGAAATACTGAAGCAGATTAGAATGGAAACAACAACAAAGTGGTATTTTCCAAACATGAATAAAATATTGGTTTAAAGTAGAGGGGATTTCCATGACTAAAATCTTTTTGTATTTCCCTAGCTCCAAAAGAATTGTTTTCCCAGTCTGGAATTGTGATATTCCACTGACAGGCACTGATGAAAGATGAGCTAGAGATAAAACGATGCCTCAGGAAGGAATGAAACCAGAGGCTCACACCCAGGGGAGGGGCACAGCGCACCTGAAGATTACCCAGGTGCCCATGGGGCTTGATGTTTGCATTTTTTTAAATTTTGTTTTTAAAGAACACCTCAGCTATGCAACATAGCTATGGCTTCGTGCCTGTGCTCGGTACAGGGATTTGATTGATAAAGTTCCCACCACATTAGACCTGGAGGCTGAGCCCAACATCTGGAGCCAAGTTTTGCAATCGAGTCTTTATATCACTAGTGAAGAACTGCTCCCTGCAAATAGGCAGCAAACCACATAGTGTTCTTTCACAGCGTGAATGATTGGCCTGTGCATTTGTTATGGCATTTCTTTCTATGGTACTTCCCATTTCAGATGAAGCACAAGTAAGAACTGTGTTTCTCTCTTTATTTTTAAGAAAAATAGCAAGAGAGGGTCTTGCTATGTTGCCCAGGCTCAAACTTGGGATTCAAGCAATCCTCTTGCCTCATCCTCCCAAAGTGCCAGGATTACAGACGAGAACCACCACATGAGCCTGGCCAAATGAGAACTTTCTGAAAAAGATATTGCCATCTAGAAAACTTCTTCCCCTAAAGTCTTAGAATTTGATACTCAAATGGTTTCCTATTTGAAAAAATTTATGATTAGATGTTTTGGTAAGACAAAGAGATTTATTCTGAGAATCATGGCAGCCACCTTTTGATGGGTATAAATGGTCTCTGTGAAGTGCTATCTCTACTACATAAACACGACTCAATAAAGATTTCTTTCAGCAAATGTTAAACCCATTGATGGAACTGAGTCAAAGAAGAATGGTTCTTTATATTCCCTAATTCAAATACCTTGTAGTCAAGATAGTAGTAATGCATTTATTTGTCAATACTTTATTTCTTTATCCCAAGGAAATAATTGGGTTGAATTGCCCATTTGTGGTATTTTGTAAGATAACTGAAGGAAATGGTGCCTTTATGTAGAAATTGGCAAGAGGATGATTTTGTATTTTTCATTTGCTAGTTCTCTTCCCTTGTTAAGGCAGACAAAACTCATGTAAGATTTTTTTTTCATATGCAGAACATAAATGCTGTGTGATGCACCTAGAGGGTTATTTGGATGCCTTCTGACCTTTTGATGAGTGAATTGAGTGAAATGGTGTATGTGAAAACTCTTTGATACATATATAGTTCTAAATAAATGTATAACATTGCTGCCTATTGTAGGCTTTCCATTCGAGGATACAGTGTGTTCTCAGTGCCACACTCCTGTGCTGATCTTTTCAGGATAAAACTATCCAGAAAAGCTCCTTCCTTCCACCTTGTCTTTAGTACTACACTGAGTAGATTGTCTTTGTAGCAGATTTAATGTACTCATTAGTCCAAGTCCAGACAAGGAAAGTTACTCATGTGAAACTAAAGAGGTAATTACTGTGGGTAGCTTGTTATTAAATTAATATTGAAATAACATATACCTTTTTAGATGGCCTAATTTGAAGAGAATTCACCTGCCTTGTCTCTA
This sequence comes from Homo sapiens, assembly GCF_000001405.40. Classification (NCBI taxonomy): domain Eukaryota; kingdom Metazoa; phylum Chordata; class Mammalia; order Primates; family Hominidae; genus Homo; species Homo sapiens. Next base: position 8,654,066 of record NC_000010.11, read on the forward strand.
TGAATGAGAAATGACTTAGTTGAGATCTATTCCTGGCAATCAGGTAACACTATCTCCAAATGTAAGGAAGCATGACACTAGATCGCACTGCATGTTACCAATGGATAAAACCAAGAAACTCAGACTTGCCTCAAGTCTGTCTAGTTCTGTTTCTACAACTTTGGAAAGAAGTTCAGGAACATATGTATTACTCAAGAGAAGTGTATGATGAAAAGCTTACTGCAGTTAAATAGCTTATGACTTCATGAACATTTAAGTGCATTTACCACAAACGGATAATGTTATTTATGTTTTGGAATAAATAGAGCTGAAATAAATATGATTACTACCTGCAAGTATTAACATTAAGAGGTATGTAAATTCCTTGTATTGAAAAGTATATATATCTGAACTTTTTGCTTGCCACAAGTCTTGAATGACAAGTAACAAACATCTATTTAGAACTCACTGGGATCAAGGTCCTATGAATAAGAAAATGCCATATACAAAGAGAAACTGGACTCCTATCTTTCACCATATATAAAAATTAACTCAAGATGGATTAAAGACTTAAATATAAGGCCTGGAACTACAAAAACACTAGAAGAAAACCCAGGAAAAACGCTTCTAGACATTGGCCTAGGCAAATAATTCATGAATAAGACCTCAAAAGTAGATTCAACAGAAACAAAAATAGACGATTAGGACTTAATTAAACTAAAAAGCTTCTGCACAGTAAAAGAAATAATCAGCAGAGTGAACAAAGAACCTGCAGAATGGGAGAAAATATTTGCAAACTATTCCTCTGATGAGGGCCTAATATTCAGAATCTACAATGAACTCCTCAATAACTCAACAACAGCAATAAAACAAATAACCCCATTAAAAAGTGGGCAAAGAACATGAACAGACTTTTTCAAAAGAAGACATACAAATGACCAACAAACATATGAAAAAATGCTCAACATCACTGACATCACAGAAATGCAAATTAAGACCACAATGAGGCACCATCTTACACCAGTCAGAGTGGCTATTATTAAAAAGCCAAAAACAACAGATATTGGTGAGGTTGTGGAGAAAAGGAAAGGCTTATACATTGTTGGAGGGAATGTAAACAGTTCAGCCTCTATGGAAAACATAACGGACATTTCTCAAAGAACTAAAAATAGAACTACCATTAAATCTGGCAATCCCACTCCTGGGCATACACCGAAAGGAAAACAAATCATTATATCAAAAAGATACCTGCTCTTGTATGTTTACTGCAGCAGTATTTACAACAGCAAAGATATGGAATCAACCTACCAGTCCATCAATGGATGATTGGATAAAGAAAATGTGATACACACACACACACACACACACACACACACAAACACACACACACACACCATGGAATACTACTCATCCATAAAAATAAATGAAATCCTGTCTCTTGCATCAATGTGAATGGAACTAGAAGTCATTATTTTAAGTGAAATAACTCCGAAGCAGAAGGTAAAGTATTGCATGTTCTCACTTATAAGTGGGAGATAAATAATGTGTTCACATGGACATAGAGAGTAGAATAATAGACACTGGAGACTTGGAAGGGTGGGAGACTGGGCATGAGGGATGAGAAATTACTTAATGGATACAATGTACATTATTCAGGTGAGAATTACACTAAAGACCCGAACTTCACCTCTTTCATCCAGGTAACAAAACTCCACTTGTATTCCCTAAATTTATACAAAAAGAGGGAGAGGAAATGCCATGTCCTCAAGTAACCTATGAGAGGAGAGAGGGAGAAATAAGATCTGTAAGGCAAAATATGGGAAGGGCTGTGACTAATGTCACAATCAGGGTACCAGTCTGCATACCTCTCTTGGGAACTCTGGGAGTTAGGTCAGGCCATGTATGAAGACCCTGTACGTCTCCTGGAAGAAACAACACCTATAAAGTTTGTCACCATTTTTCTAGGTCAACGGGGAAGATAGGCTCTAAATAAAAGGGGTAGGAGAGTTGACCTCAGCCTCTTTTGGAAGTGCACCAAGAAGGGAGAGAATTTGGCCTGCGTGGAGAAACCTTAGGCCCACAGCCGGACTGCCAGTTCTGAGTGAGGAGGGAGCTACACTTCCGAGCACGCTTCATGACTCAGTCACACGCTCCCTGTCTGGGCCTGGCAATCCCCCATGCTCTGCTCTGGGTTTGTCTTCTCCTATTCTTTTTACCCATAGTGAAAAGAATTTTTCTGCTCTGTTTTGTCACTAATTTCTCCTGGTTCTTAAGTTTGGCTTACATGTCTCTTCTTCCAGGAGGCCTCTCTTGACCTCACAATAGGATGAGGGGACCTTTTTACACATTCCCATAAGCATCCCATTTTTTTCCGGTCAGAGGGCTTATCTCATTGGACATACTTGCCTGTTGACGTGTGTCATTCACTAGACTGGGAGCCCCATGACATCGAGGTGTGGGTCTCTCTTTCCTCATTTTTTAGGATTCTGAGTCATACTTGCCTTCCCTTCGGTGCTGCTGCACCAATTCACAGTTGTGTGGACTCCTCCTGTGGATCTCCCCTCTTGCTCTTTGCACAGACAGTAATATTGTCCTCCTATGTCTTCCTCTTCTCAGTCATGCAAAAAGATTCTCTTCAGTCTTAGTCTTTATTCATTTATTCTTATTTTTTAGCCCATTGCATCCAGTATTCCCAGGTGGTCTTCCATCCAAGTACTAACCGGGCTGGATCCTGCTTAGCTTCTGAGACTAGAGATTGAGTACATTCACAGTGCTGTGGCTATAGACTCTTCGCCCTTCAAAACCCATCTTCAACACCTACGGCTTCTCAAGGCTCATTTAGTTGCTCCTGTAGGTCTTCCAGTACCTTCTACATTCATTGGTGCTACCGGTATCACAATACATACAGAAGTAAATTATAATCACAAATATGAAGCCCTTATTTAAATACATCTGCAACTTGTTATTGAGATGTGAATCTTTTCTCATTTTTTTTTTAAAAATTATTTCCTTCTTTTATAAAAAATACATTTGTTCATGATTTCTTAACAAAACAATAGTAGAAAATACAAAGAAAGAAATAACAAATCACCACAAATCTTACCACACTGAATTATGCAGCAATGATGCTTGATGAACATTATTGCGGCTCTCTCTGCAGCTAGGGGAATGATTGTTGCAGAACAGAATGTAAATATTATAAACCTTGACAAAGGAGGAGAAGTAGATCAGTAGATACTGAGAAATAATTTTATATCAATGGATCATAGTATGCATGCTATTTTCAAAATAGTTAAGTATTTAATTTTACTGTAATTGAATTGGATAAATAAATTTCTAAAAGTAGGATTCATTTCACAAAGGATATCAGTACCCATAATATCATTTAAAAATGAAAAATAAATATACAACATTAAGATCATGATATGTTAAAATTATCTGTTTCAGTTTTAAAGTACACCAATTGACCATCTTCTATAAATGACTTTGTAATTTCATTGCTTACATTATTTTACTACACTGAGTTACATTATATATAGATGCATAGATATATGTATAATACTTATGCAGATATATACATATAAATGTTATATATATATAAAACATTTATATCTTGGTGTGCAATAAAAATTTTCCCAGGGGTTTAGTCTCAAGAACTTTTTTTTAACTTTAAAATATCTAGTCTTTTCTTGCTTTGTGTTTTTTGTATTTCTTGTTTTGACTGTTTTTGCTTAGCAATGTTTAATCACCTAGTTTATATCCAAAAGGGCTCTAAGGCGCCCCTGGGCATATTCTTATGTAAGCATATCTGCTATTATCTTTATTTTTAAAAGACAATTTGGCTTGATAATTCTTCCTTTCCCTTAAACTTTCCTTCCTTCAGAACACCCTAAGTACTGCACCATTGTCTCAAGATGTGCAAAATTGTAGTGAGGGAATCTGAGCTTTTCCCCAGACCTCTACTCCCGTCTAACGTATATTTCTTGTGTCTACTTGCTTTTTCTTTCCAGATTTTTTTTTTGCTAAGAATGTGGGATGGTGGCACATAATAGCTGTGATTGTGTTTGTGTGTGTGGAGGGGTGTGGGGTGATGAGGTGAGTATATTGAAAAAAATATATAGGATTTATTGTGGACAAGGAGTATTATTCTGGCTTCAGAGGTTATCTGTGAATTCATAGCAATGATACGGTTTTGAGGGTTTCTTTTTCTTTTAGAGAGAGGAGGAGGAAGAGTGTTTAATTTTTTTAAAAAACTGAATGAAGTCGAGGTTAGTCAAGAGTCCTATCCTTTGACTTTCTTCCACCTAGAACCTTATTTTTCTTTGATCTATGAGACTGAAAATAATAAGTCCCTGTAAACTTAGCTCTAAACAAGAAACTTGTAGCCATATCATTGAGTCACATGAAGAGACAGTTTTTCTGGGGATCTCTTCCATTTCAGCATTGGAGTAATATTCACGCCTAATCTTTTCACATTTCTTCTGTTGTAATAGGAAAGTTTCTCTTGTTAAAAAAATAAATAAATAAAACTAAATGTTAATGATGTAAATGCAATTTATTTTATTTTAGCCAATACATTGTTGTTGTTGTTTTATCCACATGTATTACCATGGTACAACCACAAGATATGATGAGATCATTGGCCCAGCAGCAAGTCTTCAGTTAGGTACACCTGTCCATGTGATGAATTAGAACATGCTTTTCCACCTATAAACTACAACTTAATTTGCATAACTTAATATAAGTAGTATTAATGTAAGTGTTATACATATTTCAGGTTATAATTTTGATTACAATTTGAAGACATAAATACAATTGGTTTAGTTATAAAATTACACTACTTACTTGCTACTTTATAACTGCTCACTACCTCCTTAGTGGAACCCAGATTTTCTCTATGATTTGAGAAAAATTACTCCACATGTTACCTAGTTATCAAACTATATTGGGAAGCAGAAAAAGCTATGAAAGGCTTCAAAGCTTCTGAGAACCTTAGCACGAAAAACTCTTCCAAAAAGCTTTTTTCACTTTTCAATAGTTCCTCTTTACATCACATTTATAATCACTCACCAGCAATCTCTTTTCCATGCTTGATTTGTGAGGCTTATTGAAAACAATGGCATTGACGTTCATTCTGACTCCTTGATTTCCATTGTTTTCAGGAGTTTTCATCTATGAGCAGCAGCAGAAAGAGAAAAAGTTAGATTCTTAGATTCCATGATTTTATATTTCCCACCAAGGTACAAGTATTTCTACTTTTCTACCTGATTGTCTCTACTTTCCTCCATGTGTATTTCTTTTCTTTTCTTTTCTTTTTCAGACGGAGTCTCGCTCCGTCGCCCAGGCTGGAGTGCAGTGGTGCGATCTCGGCTCACTGCATGCAACCTCTGCCTCCCAGGTTCAAATGATTCTCCTGCTTCAGCCTCCTGAGTAGCTGGGATTACAGATGTGTGCCACCATGACTGGCTAATTTTTGAATTTTTAGTAGAGACAGGTTTTCTCCATGTTGGCCAGGCGGGTCTTGAACTCCTGACCTCAAATCTGCCAGCTTCAGCCTCCCAAAGTGCTGGGATTACAGGCATGAGCCACTGCGCATTTCTTCTGCCATTCTGACAGCTCCTCAATACTGGTTATTTGTAGTTGGTACATAAATGTTTCAAATACTTTCTGGCTCCCTTATAAACATTACAACCTGGTTCATTTCTAAGAAACCACAGTCCTTTTTCAATGGCTGTTGAACTTTTCTGATGCACCTCTGAGTAGGTCCACACAGCAGATTCATATACTAGAACTGCATTGTACCAGAGGAACTCTTCTCATCCAGGGAGAAAACAACAATTACATTTTCTTGTTGCAAATTACAAAATATTACATTCTAATCCTACAATTCCATTTCAATGGAAGAATCAGATATATGCATAAAGAGGCAGGTGCAAGGATATTCATTTTAGGGATATTTAGAAAACTGGAAAAAATTTGAATGTCTAACAATAAAAAAGTTCAACAAATGATGACAAACCATGTCATGGGATATAAAATTTCATATTGTAGTCATATTACAGAACTGTTAAATACATGGTAACGTTTATAACAATTTGCTAAGCAAACAAAGTAATGTGATCACATTTTTGTAAAAGATACAGTCACACCTAGCAGTGCTTCCTCGGCTCTGATTAGGCAACATTGCCTAGAGAAATAAAATATTCTATTGAGGGCTTTCTTTTGAACAGTGGACATCCTCTTTACTCACTAACAGGGACCTTATTAAGAGAAGCAACTTAGATTATTACTCAAATAAGTTCTCCTTCAAGCTTTCTGCTTACAAAAAAAAAGCTATCAAGTTATCCCAATTATAACCCAATGATACACATACTCATTTTATGTAGAGTCCAGAAATGTTTTGAAGCTGGAGTTGAAGACAGTTCAGTTCAAGGCCTTACTTTTACGGACAATGAACCTGAATTCCAGAAGTAGGAAGCTTTTATGACAGAGGAGGCTGGCGGAAGAATCAGTGCCTGAATCAGGGTCTGCTGTTGCTGGTGCCTCGCCACATATCCAAGTTTTTATCTTTTTATTCTTTATGCATGGTCAAATGTGGCCAAACCTAATGTCTTCTCTGGTTTCTGGCAAGAAAGCACTATGAACTATCACCAGTTTTAGCAACGGGGACCTTTTGTTCTGTAGTAATATACATAAAAAATTAAGATTGAGCAAGCAGATAAACCTTTTGTGTGCATAATTAATAACTCACACTTGAATTTCTGTATCTCATTAGAGGTAGTTGTCTCACCTTTAACTAGAGAAGACAAGCTTTATTTTTGTAGCGCTTTGCCCTATTATGTTCAACAATAATAATTCACGGTGACAGATGTAATCCACCAAACTCATTATTTTCAACCCCGATCCATTTATTTTGCATTACCAATACAGTGTTGATGCCTATCATTCCCTGAACTGGAGTGCCTGCTGAAATGTTTTATTGCGATATGTCAGAGTTTAAATAATAGCAGGAATGAGGCTGAAGCCTTCCAAAGTTGCTGTGTGTATTATAAAAACGTATGTAATGCACCCTGTACTCACAAGAACAGGTCTTAGGAGGTGTGGTTTTGATTAGCCAATTACATTTGGGAGAAGAATGGACTCTATCTCTTAGAGAGGGCCACATCTCTTCATATATGTATATATGTGTGTGTATATGTGTATATATGTGTGTATGTCTATGTATATGCGTGTATATGTATATATACACATATGTATTCGGGTTTTTAATATATATGTGTCTGTGTACTTATGTGTATATGTACAAATTATATATAAATTTATATATATATATATATAAATAAAACCACAATAAGGTACCATCTTACAGCAGTCACAGTGGTTATTACTGAAAAGTCAAAAACAACAGATGTTGGTGAGGATGTGGAGAAAAGGAAAGGCTTATACATTGTTGGAGGGAATGCAAATTAGTTCAACCTCTATGGAAAAAAGTATGGAGATTTCTCAAAGAACTAAAAATAGAACTACCATTAAATCTGGCAATCCCACTCCTGGGCATACACCCAAAGGAAAATAAGTCATTACATCAAAAAGATACTTGCTCTTGTATGTTTATTGCAGCACTATTCACAATAGCAAAGATATGGAATCAACCTATGTATATACATATATGTGTGTGTATATATATACACACACACGTGCACACATATATACATAGACACACATACATACATACACACATACATATACACACACATACACACACACACACACACACACACACACACACACACACAATACATCAAAGAGAAAAGAAAACAGGATTGGAACTTTTTTTCTTTTGAGGAGCTAAATTTCCCAAAATCTGCTGTGAAAAATCTCACTCATAATTTAACATATTGTGCTATAAAACTGTTTTCTTTCTCTTCTTGATTTATATTCTGCCAAATCCTGGGGCGGGACAGGAGGATATTGTCCTCTGATAGGCAGTATAGGACTATGTGACTTCCTTTGACTTTAAAGGAATCGCAGGGAAGTTTGAATGGCAACTATTCAACCTTGAAGGGAGAGAAACTAAATGAAACACCTGTTTCTCTGATTACTGTGCCACAAGGCCTTTTAATTAGTTTGTGGAACTAGAAGTTTTAGTTATTGAAGCATATGGTTATTTCCCTCCAAGAGAGTGGACACGTGACTACACACCATTAATTTGTGATTATTATTAAACTAAGAATGCAATTTAAAAGATTGTGTACTAATAGATATATTTTCTAGACTAGAAAGAGCTGCAGAATAAAGTAGGAGAAAAATCCATATAAAATGTCAATCTTTTTTTTATATCAGCACCAGTGATTGACTATTTCCATAATGGTGTTCAGAAGATGTATTTACACACGTGGGAACTTCAGTTGGATATGCTGAATTAAAATGTTGATAATTATTTTATGGATATTAATTATTTTAATTTCATGTAATACCTTTTCCTCAAAGATTTAGAGAGCAATATATCAGTGTAGGAAACAAAGGCTGGAAAAAATAGGTATGGCTAAGTTGACCATAACCTTAAAACATTTTCTCCATGTTGTTTTTATCATGTGGTAGAGATTTCTCTCCAATATGTTCAAGTACTTGAATGTAGAAACTTGGAAAATTCTGCTGGACTGTTAGGAACTCCTTCCACTTAGCTAGATATCATCCTAAATTCATCTTAAGACATCATCTCCTCAAAGTCATTGTAAAGGAAAGAGAAACATTTGGCTTTCTGATAGGTTTTTAGACACCTCTGCACAGAGTTTTGAGAAGGATGTCTCGGTTGGGAGCATTTAGGGTATCAAACTCTTACACCTCGTAGGTATTAATTAAAATAGGGAAACTTTCATTTTAGATGTGAGATGCGTAAGATATCAGTAACTTTGTGATCATGTCTTATACTATGGTATTTTCCCCATGTAACTCCTCGCTTTTTGCAGAACGGTTATTCAATCAGTATGTGAGCTTTGAGTTGCTCTCTGGGAAAAGCAATTGAATTATTGCTTAGTACTGACTGAAATAAGCATGGGCAACATGGTGAGAGTGTAATCATTTAAGTGCAAAAATGATCCCAAACCATACAACAGCTTTGCTATTAATAAAAATCATGAGAAACTACAAATAAACTACAAGTGTTCATAGTGGCAGAAATGACTCAACTGTTGTGAAATTTTAATTTCTCTCACTGTTTATGCCTAAATATGAAACATACCTGACAACAGCATGAGACAGAACACGTCTTCTCATTTTTCCAGATAATTTACACCATGAGTTTGGCCAAAAGCACTGATTACAAAATACGACTGCAATTGGATAGCATAGCAAAATGGATTTCCACACCTATGGCATAAGGCTTGGTTTGTTTTGATTAAAGACATAATTGTGATCCAATTTCATAATGTTGATCACAATTTCATCACCTGTGCCTGGAAGGAGAGGAAAATATATGAGGGGTATAGCAAAGTGCAAACTCATTAAAAATTGTCTGCAAGAAATTACGATTGTTACATTTAAAGCAAAGGTGTGGTATTGTGTTTAATTAAACAAAGTTTGTAAAGTGTTTTGTGAACTTTGCTTGGATTGTGCAAACTTGAACAAGGCACTTTATACAAACTTATGTTAATGGAATATTTTGAGAACATATAATTTGAGGAGCAGATAGATAAATTACTATCAAAAATAACTTGCATAATTTTGTGATTAGCAAGAGATCTTACACCAAGAAGGTGAAGTATAGTGTGCTTGTTCAATTCTTTTTTTTTTAATTTTTCTCAAAGATAATATTTTAAGTTTGTAGTGGGGAGTAAGTTTTTTGTTGTTGTCATTTTGTTTCTTTTGAGATGGAGTCTCACTCTGTCACCTAGGTTGGAGTGCAGTAGCATGATCTCGGCTCACTGCAACCTCTGCCTCCCAGGTTCAAGTGATCCTCCCACCTCAGCCTTCTGTATAGCTGGGACTACAGGTGTGTGCCACCAGGCCTGGCTAATTTTTTGTATTTTTGGTAGAGACTGGGTTTCGCCATGTTGCCCAGGCTGGTATCTAACTCCTGAGCTGAGATGATTCACCTGCCTTGGCCTCCCAAAGTGCTGGGATTACAGGCTTGAGCCACTGCGCCTGGCCTTGTTCAATTCTTGAGTGGCAAAATCAACAGGTTTGTTCAGAAGATGTTTACAAAAATGTCAAAAAGTTATTGTAACAGTTTTCTTTGGCTACAAAATAGATGCTTAGAAGATAATTAATAACTCAGTGGCAAGTTTTTTTTTTAATTTTTCATGATGTGATTACACCTAGGTCTATTGTCAGTTAACTATTTAAAAGTGAATAAAGGAAGATGAATCCTAGGACAACATTGTCAAACTTCAGCAAACTGCCATCCTTCTCAACCTCTTCACTCACAGTCTAAGTGGAGCTCTATCTGATGCTAACGCTTTGGTAGAGTAAGCTACATTCTCCGTCAATGTCAATCAAATATTTGGCTTGAAAAATATTTTAAGGACCTGAAAATCAACTGCATTTGTTGGTAAACACTTTTTAGCAGAATCTCCACCTAAGTTTGGATTAGGGTTTGTCTTTCAAGTTGTGCCTGGGCCTGTTTTTTAAAAACATAATTCAGTTCATCAGTTCTATGGGAAAATGTATTCTTTTTTGATCATTGTCTAGAGTAATTCATTTTGAGTAGATATAGATAAATTCTGAAAAATAAAAATTACAAATTTAACTTAGAAATTTAGAGTTTTATATTTAACATAAATATTTTAACAGAAACTTTACATTAAAGATTTTAAATTACTGAAGTTAATTCTCAATATTTGCATGTGTCACAAGGATGTGTCTCATATCACAAGTCTTGGAGAGGGAGAGGGAAAGAGGATCATCAGTCATGGTGTCCAGGGAGAAGCTAGCAGTGGTGAGAGGAAGAGCTAAGCGAAATGAACATACAGTGTGTTTCTGCCCCTCACACAGACATGTGCAAGAGACCTGGGGGATGTGCATTTGAGATGCAAGGAGCAATGGGACACGAAGTCTAACACATGGAACCCACTGTCTTGTTGGCAGGGATGATAAATGCCAATGGGTAACAATATTCTATGATTCAAGACCTAATGAAGAATTTGAAAGTGATAAATACAGTTAGTAAATTACTCTAGTTTAGAGTTGGAAGGTCAGAGAAGATTTCTTTTAGAAGGTCGAATTTGAGTTGGTCTTTAAAGATGAATCAATTGCACAGGTTGGAGAGAGAATCTTTATGCACAAAGATGCAACTGCAGAAAAGAGGGCAAACATAAGTAGGTTAGACTAGAATAATTATACCCGTGAGCTTCAGAGCAAATGGCAGCTTATGGAACACTTTCACATGCAATAGCTCATATAACTCTTTAAGCAACCCTGTGAAACAGGCAGGGCAGTTGTTATTGCACAATTTACAGATGTGCAAACTGTGGTTCTGCAGAGCTGCTACAAACACTAGAGTTGGATCTCAAACACACGTGCTTGACCTTTTTTTGCTTTCTGGTTTACTGCAATGGGCAAGTCATAGGGTGAGGAGTGCTATGGTAAGATTAGGTTAAATGGGAAGAGAGAGTCAGCAGAGTTTCTGACTATGCCCAAATTTGTACAAAAATAAGAAGAAATGGTGTTTTTTTTTTTGAAAAAAAGAAAAAGTCTGAATAATAAAATGATCCATGAATTTATGGTGAGGACTAGTAAAAAAGTAAACTTCATTTAACAATTATATTTAAGCTAAGCTAGGATGAAGATGCACAAGAAATATTTAAAAAAGTAAGACAAACATGGCAAAAACAAAATCAACAAAAGAAAAATAAAAACAAGAACTGAAAGACTTATCAAGGCATAGCCGAGAGGTCTATGTGGTTTGTACTTCCCAGCCATTACAGTCTCTGCGGATTGTGGCTTACCTGTTGTAATTCAGGGATCTCCATTTATTATGAAGCACAGCACCTATGTACAATTTACCAGGGACACATGTGACCTTGATAACTATAAAGCATAAGGCCATCTTTTCAGTATGTCAACAAATAGATCATTTAAGCAGAGTGGCATAGTTTTTTGAGGCCAGTTTGCCCACCAACATTAGTTTGCCTAACTCAGAATAACATACAGAGAGGCAAGAGTTTGAAATGAATGAAAATATATTCAATCCATAATCAAATGAAAAAGTTTTGGGAATGGTGCCAGAAAGCCTTCCTGAATTAGACTTTCTTCAGCACCTAAATTTAGCCACCTGGCATTCTATTTTAAGAATCATTCAGATTTTTGAAATGAAGGATTTGCCTTTTAATGAAGACACCCTCATTTCATTAAAAATATGGAACACATTGTCCTTGACTTTGAATGTGTTAAATTCCATGTGATGAAAGAGGTGACATCATTAGCCACATACTTCATAACCAGCGGTGAAAAAAGAAATTTTCAACTTAAAAAGGTATTATGTTATAAGTATCAGTAATTATTGCAACAAAAGTTATTGATTAGAAAAATGCCCAACTTCGTTTTCAAGGGCTAAAGAATTTAAAAATGTGAACAGTATACCACAGAAAGTTTCTTAAATTGTTGCTTATTATGGAAAGAAGTCTGACACTCTTAAAGGACATAGTATTCTTGCATTTTAATACCATAATGATTATAAAGTATACTTTTAGCAGCATTCACTATTAATTACAGAATATGATGGTATTACACACACACACACACACACACACACACACACACACACACACATATATATATAGAGAGAGAGAGAGATGGAGTCTTGCCCTGTCACTCAGGCTGGAGTGCAGTGGTGCAATCTCAGCTCACTGCAGCCTCCGCCTCCCCAGTTTAAGTGATTCTCCTGCTTCAGCCTCTTGAGTAGCTGAGACTACAGGCATGCTCCACCACACCAACTTTTGTACTTTTAGGAGAGATAGGGTTTCACCATGTTGGCCATATTGATCTTGAACTCCTGACCTCAAGTGATCCTCCTGCCTTGGCCTCCCAAAGTGCTGGGATTACAGGTGTGAGCCACTGTGTCCAGCCATATTACAAATATTTTTAAAGCTGAGATATTTTAAATTCAGTTCCATGAATAGTTGTCATTAAAATTTCTTCAGGAATATTGTTCTATGTCATAGAGCCCTCATTTATTTAACAGCTAGTATTATTAGGTTATCATATGTTAGATATTGTTGTAGGTGTCGAGGCTGTAATCATGAATAGAGGAATGTAATATCCGTTCTAATGAAGCTAACTGTCTAGTGGGAATAATAGTGAAATAAAGCAGCAGTTAACAGAGTGCAGGGATTAGGTTCTTGGAATAACATGCCTGGAAGGTGAATCCACAAGAATATATGCTTCAGATGTAATTATTTTTAAGCATACTGCAATGAATTGCTCTGTTTTTTAATGTGAATTAGAGTTTTGTTGCATCAATTTTAAGGGTGTCTAGTATTTGCCAAACACCTTATTAAGTTCTTTACCTTCATTAATCAATTTAATTCACACCAATGGCTGCTTGAGGTAGATGGCATTACTCACATTTTGAGAGACTAAAGCTCAGAGGGGTAAAACAACTGTCCCCTAGCCACACTTTGATAGTGATTTCACAGAGCCTGTGATCTTTACATTGTGTTCCATATGCTTCCCAAGTCACAATTTTACCATGTTGTGGAATAAATGTGTTCTATTGACTTATCAAAATTCTAGATGACAAATTTCATTGTAAAGATCATGTATTAAAAATAATGTGATTTGCTTTTAAAAAGCCTTAAGCCAAGTGGGTTAGTTATTTATTGCTATATAATAAATTATCCCAAAATTTAGTGGCTTAAAACCTCAAATTTTTATTGTCTACTTTAGTTTCAGATGTCAGGAATCTGTGAGCAGCTTAGCTCTGTGGTTCTGGGTCAGGGGTTCTCAAGTGGCTGCAGTCAAGATGTCAGCTGGGGCTGCTGTCTCATGTGAAGGCTTGACTGGGCTGGAGGATGCACTCCCAAGCACCCTCATGTGGCTGTTGACTGGAGGCTTTGGCGCCTCAGTACGTGGCCCTCTGGAATTGCTGCTCAGGTCATGGCAGCTAACTTCCCTACCAGCCAGTGATCAGAGAATGTGTGACTAGATGGAAGCTACAATGTCTTTTATAACCAAACCCAGACAAAACTGGGCCTGGGTCTTTATAAGTCTGTTCTCATGCTGCTATGAAGAAATACCCGAGACTGTGTAATTTATAAAGAAAACAGGTTTAAATGATTCACAGTTCTGCATGGCTGGGGAGGCCTCAGGAAACTTATAATCATGGTGGAAGGCACCTCTTCATAGGGCAGCAGGAAAGAGAATGAGTGCAGAGCAAAGGGGAAAAAAATCCCTTATGAAACCATCAGATCTCATGAAAACTCACTCACCATCACAAGAACAGCTATGGGGGAACGACCCTCACGATCTAATCACCTCCCACGAGGTCCCATCCCCAACATGTGGAGATTACTTTTGGATTACAATTCAAGATGAGATTTTGGGTGGGAACACAAAGCCTAACCATATCAGAGTCTAATCAGGATAGAGGAAAAATACAGCAACTTCAACAGGACAACAGAGCAAGACTCCGTCTAAAAAAAAAGCACGGCACATAAGATTCAGTTGTATAATGATTCTTTGTGATGATTAAATGATGAATGAATATGGGAAATTAATATGGAGGCAAAGCCACAGACCATTATGTAGAGTTAATAAAAAGGAAAACCCAGTATGATCTTTAATCATTTTTAAACTATCATGTTGCATCTATATTTTCAATATCTTTCAAAAAACAGTTAACCTAAAGTATGAGTTATTATTATATTTTGGAAGAGTCAGAGTTTCTTTTGAGAATAGCATAAGAACTTTGACAACTTTTCCCCCCAAAATGCACATATGTGCAAACATATGCATTTAATTTCAAGCAATTCATGTATCTCCTGAAGCCATAAGCAGAGTTTATGTATGTGCTTCAATATACCATGGACTTCAAGGTAAACATTATTAACTAAATATGAAGAGGGGGCATTTATAATAATACCAATTTCTTACTGCTATTATTGATTAAAAGATAATGTTTTTCAATGCCAAGATGTGCTAGACTGCAACAAATTCTCTACAATAAACTTTAGTCCCCATATGGAGTAAATGATATTAAGCTGGACAATAGATGGGCAAATACTTTATATTTTGTTGGGTGTCTTCTTTAAGGTACATTCTATGCCACACCAAAACACTCCTCCTATCCCACCATACACACTTATTTATTAATTATCCAGTTTATTCACCAAATGTAGAAATTAGGCTGGACAGATTAAGTCAAACTTCTTTAGAGATTTTGTGCAATAATGGGGTCAAAGATTTCTATAATGACAGTCTACTTTCCTCTGGGCACAACTTGTCTGACGACGAGAAAAACTAAAAAGAATGAAATAAAAAGCAAAGAAGTTTCAGATTCACTAATAATAGTGTTGGCTTTTGAGTGAAAATTAGCTCTGGAAAGAAAGTGCAACATAAAGCAAGACAAGCCAGGGCAGAATTTTGCACATTCCAGTGAAAGTTTTCAGGCAATTCTATCCATGGATATACCCTTAAAGGATGTGACCCAGGTGAGACTTACCTGCTGAAGGCAACTAATCCACAATGAGCAAATTATCCTGCCCTGGAGGGTAAGCTACAATATCGGTCCCATGCTTCAGGAAGAGAAAATCATGTGTTCCTAGAAGAGAAGGAAACCAGGGGCTAGCAGAGGCTTGCCTAGAAATGGAATTGAAATATAAACTGAGAAGTTTCAGTTGATTTAGAATAACAGGGTGTTCCAATTAGCTTACAAAATGTTTCTGACAGGCAATAGAATCGAATAAGGGAACAGCAGTGGCATCACACAAAAAGGAATTTAACAAATGCTGGCACTTTCATATCCCCTAGGGAGATGAATGATGATGAACTTCAAAAGTTGGAACTGATTTGAGTCCAATATGGCTGGAATAGCTTAAAAAGTAAAGTATAACAGCCTCCTAGTAGAAAATATTTCTTCTTCATTCCCCTAATCACTTTCTCCTTTTCACAAATGTGTGCATTTGCAAACATGGAGGTGCCCCCCACTCCATTCACAAACTACAGAAACTTACAGAAACTGAACAATGCAGATTGAAACTTCCCTGTTACTGAATCCAAAGGACAGGGTTCAGCACTTCCATGTAATATGTGTATTCATGGATAACAAGAATATAAATAAACTGCCTTATAAGATCATTTAATATGTGTGTGAATATCATAAGTACATAAACAAGTGAAGCTGAAGGAGGTATGTTTGTACCTTGGAAATTTAAAATGCTGTTATGTAGTTATCTTGATCAGATTATCTGAAGGGAATTGTCAAATGAATAGAAATACCATTTTGGAAATTAGACATGGTCATTGAAATTTTTGGTTTTTTTTTTTTAAGTAAAGCTCAAGGTATTATTTAAAACCAGCATGTCTATGTCAAATAGATGACAGATAGGGGATCATGTTGTAAGCATAACATTCCAGTTCTGTGTTGACACTATTGAGAATAAACCACAAATGGCTCAACAGGTAATGCTCATAATGGCTGACCTTTATATCAACTTTTTACTTTCTGTTTACCTGGTGTCACTACATAGTCTTTTAAATGATGACTAGTCGCTAATATAGCAAGTTACAGCAGTCAGAGAAAGAAACAGTGTCGTTATGTTAACTTGTTAGTATGGAACCACTAATATGCTTTGTATAAATGAAGTCTTCATTCCAAATAGGTCGATTATTTTCTTACTATTATCAAAGAGCTTATATTTTCTTTCTTCTTTTAGCTTGTATTTATTTATTTATTTTTATTTGTATAAATGTATGAGGTACCAGTGTAATTTTGCTACAGGCATAGGTTGCATGGTGGTAAAGTCGAGGCTTTTAGGGTTTCCATCACCCAAATAATGTACATTGTTCCCCTAAAGTAATCTTTTGTCATCCACCCTCCTCCTACTCTCTCACCCAGCTGATAGTTTCATAATAACAAAAGATAGGCTAACTCAGGTGCAGACATAAATATACATATATATATATAGATAGATAGATAGATAGATAGATACATGCAGATGTGTACACACAGCTATTAAATATGCATAGAATTTTCATATTTAATTTAATAAATGTTTAAATAATTATTTATGAGGGACAGAAGATATTTCTTAGAAACTTCAAAACAGGGAAAAGTATATTTGTAATATGTCTCCACATTTGATTATGTGACTTTATCTGCTATGTTAGTTTAGTAAATTAAAATGTTTACACATAAATATTTTAATGCCCTTATATTCATCTTTCATGGAACCTTCTTGTTGTTTCTTAGTTTATCCACTAAAAATCTCCTTTAAAATGTTGTGGACTTCCTATATATCAAATTATGATCAGATATGTTAGATTATTTGTCACAAACATAATTATAAGTGTCACAATTATGGTCATAAACCTCTTCTAGACAGGCACTTCCTTACATTGGCTGTGAGCTGGGATGACATGCGATAATGCCCTTAAGATTCTTAGAAGCCTTTTGTCCAGACAAGAGCAACTATGAATCACTGACTTAGGTCACTCTGAGGTCTTTATAAGAGAACTTCCAGCTTCATCTTTGATTTAATATTGACCCCAAGGCCAAGTTTTATTGGCAGGCTTCTATTTGTTTCTTTCCTTGAAGGTCTTTTGCTAACTGAAGAGACTTTCTGAGCATTCTATATTCCCATTAAATTCTGATTTTAAAAAGGACCCTAAGCAGTTCCTTCTTTAGCCTTATTTCTGTCTTACAATACCTTATATTCAGCTAAAAGAAGACAAATGACACTTTTACCATCCTTCTTGGAATCCTTTTATCCAAATGTACAGATTTTAGGATACCTTTCCTGTCTAAGTTAATGTGGGCAGCAGTTTCACTAATTTTTCTGCCACTACATAACACGGGTTGTTGTTTTTCCAGCCTCCAAAGCAATTTTCTCACTACCTTTCCAGGCTCTAGGAAACAGTCCGTTGCTGCTTTCTGGTGTCTCTGCTCCCCACTCCTAAAGCCAAGGGCACATATTCTAGATTTTGTTATGACAGCACATCACCTCTTTGCATCGACTTCTGCATCCATTGTTTATTGCTGTGTACAAAACATCCCAAAATTACTGGCTTAAAACAACAATTTTGTTGTTGTTGTTGCTATTTTATAAGTGAAGCATTTGAAAGGGGCTTAGCAGGAATGGCTTAGCTCTGCCCTACAGTGTCCAAAGTGCCAGGTAGGATGGCTGAGACAGCTAGGCCCCTCTCCTCCATTGCTGTCACCTGGGACAGTTCACCTGGGGCTGGAGGATTCAACATGGCCTTACTCACTTTCTTATACCTTGATAGTCATCCATTGCTATGTTTTCACATGGCAGAAGGAGCAAACGATCTCTCTGATGCCTCTTTTATAAGGGCACTAATCCCATTCATGAGGGCTCCACCCTCATGACCTAATCACCTCCCAGAGCCCCTCGTAATGCCCTCAGGCTGGGAGTCAGGATTTCAACATATGAAATCTGTGGGAGGAACATAAACATTCAGTCCATTGCAGTGGTGATGGTTACACAACTCTGAATATACTAAAACCCACTGAAGTGTACACTTTAAAAAAGTAAATTTTATGGCATATCAATTATATCTCAATAAACCTACTATAAAAATTAATTCTAACTTCTTTATAAAGCTGTCTTTTAATGTGGCTACTAGAAAACATGAAATTACATATGTGACCTATATTGTATTTCTTTTGGGGGAGAGCTGCTCTAGATGATCAAAAGGCAAGCATTTTATGGAAGGGAGTGGTAGAATATTTCAATTCAGTGGTGAGAGTACAATTGGAAGGCAGAGCTGCTGTTTAAGAAGAATAATGTATTGGAAATGTTAACGATACTGCATGGATGAAACAAAAGATCGCGTTTAGAAGCAGATTTGTAGGAGATGACACTTATTTTGGGAACTGTTCTGATGAAAGGAAGTATCTTGAAATCTACAGAAAAAAAGCTTGACCGTGAGTATCAAATTTGTACGCGTTGCTTTTCTGTTTTACTGGATGTTACAGAAAATGTTTGTATTTAGAAGACATTTCTTCAGTTAATTATTTTATATCCTTGAGAGAACAGTAGCTAGTGTATGTTGATAGGATTTCCTAATATTTTGGGGTCTCCAAAAACTTCAGAGTATACCCCAAAAATAAAATATTAAAAGAAAGCATTTGCTGTAAAACCAGACCCTGCCATTAAAAAAACCTTAGCATCTTATTTGGGTGGTATTTCTAAGTGATTTTGGCTTTAACATTGATCAAATTTTCTTTGTTTTTGGCCTATATATTATTTTATAAAATACATTAAAATAACTGAGAATACCAAGCTCCCAGAATGAAAACACATAATTCTCAGAGAGATATCTTATTAATATAAACACTTCATCATTTTTAGGCAACTGATACAGAAAAGCATTTTTAAACACTTGTTATAATGAAGTTTTCTTTTTAAGTCAATGTATTGTTTGAAATCTCGTGCCATCTTTAGGATCTAAAGATGAAATAAATTAACCAGTTGGCCTCTGTAGTAAATTCCCAGCTGGGGGAGGGGATAGGTGTTTTAAACTTAGCAGTGGAAAAAAGGAAATAAATACATATATTTTTCTACTTTTTTTTCCTGTTTTTTTTTTTTTTTACTTTGAAACACTTTAACTGCACGTCTTTTGGTTAATGAAAAACATGGAAATTTTAGGCGAGTTAAATTTTTTTTTCAGTTTTTGCAGGTACATACAGAGTAGGTGTATATATTTATGGGGTACATGAGATATTTTGATACAGGCATGCAATGTGTAATAATCACACTATGGAAAATGGAGTTTCCATCCCCTCAAGCATTTATCCTTTATGTTACAAACAATACAATTATAGTCTTTTAGTTATTTTTAAATGTACAATTAAATTATTATTGATTCTCATTACCTGTTATTCTATCAAATGCTAGGTGAGTTTTGGGAAGCTGATTGAGGTGTTTTGGTTTCAAAGACCCTTGGCATTAAATAACCATTGATAAGCATTTTAGCTTGCCTTGTGTCTATTTATCTTAAAAATAGGATTAATAATTGTTGTAATTATCCATGTCATTTAGTCAGGGATATCATTTTTGCCTTTTAAAAAAGTATTCAATAGAAAATGATCTGTGCCGATGTTAGAATTGTTTCATTAATTGCCTGCCGTCTCACTTTTTCTTCCACCTCCGGTTGCCTTGACAGTAGCAAGCTCTTGATGAAGTGTCAGCATTTAAGGAAATGCACAAACCTTTGTACTTGTAATACTTTGCTCAAGTCTGGATTTGCCCATTGTGCAAAACAGTTCTCTAAACTATCTGAAAAAAAAATTCCTTTAAAGAATTATAGATGATAGTCATTATTAAAGTTCAAGTCTATGTGACTTTTAAAAATAAAAATATATAATTTCCCCTCTGTTTACTTGGTTTTGAAGCATTAGTAGCATTTGTATATGTAAAAGAGTATTTATCTATGTTAATCAAAAATATGTATGAAGGTGAAATTGAATGACAAAGTGAAATGAAGTATTACATAGTATTCACGAATATGCGTATCTTATAAAGCGATCTGCTTTAAGAAATTGTATAAGAAAATATCACTATATTTATATAAGGGTTATGAAATAATTTTAAAGCTGTATGTTTCATAGTATATGAGTTGTTTTAAATAATAATAATCCAAAATAGAGCACAAGGCAATATTACTAACTTGAATTTTCATTTGAACCCCAATGCTTCAATTATTGAATTAATCAGAGAAATAAAAACTGATTTTATAGCTATAATGATGTTAATTGTTTATACTGGAATAGTCATATGGCATTTTAGTATATGTGATCTCGTTTAATATACGTATCTACCCATTCTAATTGGCCCACTTTCATAATTTTCTCATCAATTGCTTATATTCCTACTTAGGACCATAAAGACATTTTTAGGATACTATGTATGACAAATGAAATGCTCCTGGCATATTGAGATCATTGTCATTTTAATCAATCAAGCAGGAAATATCTAAAGCTTCAACTTATGCTAAGCTGCTACAAAACTCCTTGGCCTTCCTGCATGAAAATTTATCAGACTCGTACAATCCCAACCAAATCTATCAGAACCCATATTACAACTCATTCTGAGACCTATTGATGTCCTCTTCACCATGAATCACCTTCAGTCAAGGACCAAAGTACAGAGTGGACTCCTGGATCCATCCTATCTCTGGGCCCTAAGACTTTTTCTGAAAGCTGAGGTATCAAAAAGTGCTAATGTGTTATGGCGAAGTGAAGTAAAAATTTTGTACAGGTCTTGACTGAAAGTTTCTCCTTTTTCTCCTTACCAATATTTTTCCAATGGTGAATCAGAAACTCTAGGCTCAATGCTCTCCAAAATATATTAGGAAGACCACGGTATGGCATATTGAAAGAATGCTTCCTTGGGGATCAAGAAACAGGCCATAGTTATAAATTTTATTATTATGGCACAACTTTTACATGTTTTATGTATCTGTTTTATGTTTCTGCTGTTTTCTTCTATGCCCTGTTTACTATAGAAAAGTTTGCTACACAGAAAAACAGCAGATATAAAAATATCAAATGACTACATTTTGAGTTTCAAAATATAGATCCAGCCATAAGATGAAAAGAATTGAAAAAGTGGTCTTTATTTTTTCTGACTGATTAAAGGCTTCCCAGGAAGGAAAGAAGGAGAGAAAATCCAAGGAGAAAGAGAACTTAAAAGCCCAGTATATTAGTCTGTTTTCACACTGCTATAAAGACATACTTGAGATGGCATAATTTATAAAGAAAACAGGTTTAATTGACTCACAGTTCCACATAGCTGGGGAGCCCTCAGGAAACTTACAATCATGGTGGAAGGCAAAGGGGAAGCACGCTTGGACCTTCTCACATGGTGGCAGGAGAGACAGTGAACAAGAGAGGAACTACCAAATGCTTATAAAACTATCAGATCTCATGAGAACTCATTTACTGTCAGAACAGCATGTGGGAAACCACCCCCATGATCTAACTTCCACCTGATCCCTCCCTTGATACATGCAGATTATGGAGATTACAATTAGAGATGAGATTTGGGTGGGGACACAGAGCCAAACCATATCACCCAGTTTTTGTGCCCGTTCTTCTGGGCTTGGCCAAATTCACGATGGGCGGAGTAGTAGATAACAGAATCCCATGACAGATTTGAAGATCTGAGAACAGAAACAATCTTTGCACCCTTTTTGAATAGAGACCAGGCTATCCAAAAGAACCTAGAGAGAGACAGAAATGTGTTCAGTATGTATTAGGTAGAGGGGTCTGAAATAATCTCCTGGAGTTTCCATGAGCCTCTAGAATTGGGTCAGAGAAGAGTAAAATTGGCACCGTCATCCATGAGAATAGCAAAAGGTAGGAAAAGATTTTAGATATTCCAAAAATGCATTTCCCACAGGCACTAAGTGGCATGGAATTTAACTAAGCAGTCTAGGGCCTCAGCAAACGTCAGAGAATGAGGATGAAGGAGTTCTCTGCTCCAAGGAAATTGGAGACCTTAGTGAATGCCTGCATTATTGTATCAATATTCCATGAATTCTTGTTAAAGCTTTGACTGTATGTGATTTTTTGGACTCCAGTCTGATATTTTTCTCTCATGGTAAGTTGCCTCTTTTAATCAATATCTCCTGGGAACATTTACCCAAATACCCGAAAGCTACTTCCCTCTTCTTCCTTGCTAAAGGAAGCCTGATTCTGCTCAGGCCTCAGGTGACCACATATTTCAGGGAAAGTGGGAATCTTACCAGCTCCAGCAGGTTTGTATCAACAGGTCTAATATAGTGGTTCTCAAACTGTGGTTCCTTAAATTTGCATTATCAACATCTCATGATGTAAACCTATGAACATCATTGCAGATCTACTGAATTGGTAACCCAAGGGGTAGGGACCACAACCTGTGTTTTAGTAAACCCTCCAGGCTACTGTGATGCATTCTCCAGGTTTGAGAACCACTGGTCAAGGATAATCATGGCAACTCCATTCTCCTAGTAGATGGTTGGTTTAAGATGGGTCAATGGTATAATTCCAGCCAATAAAATCCAAAGCGAATATGGGAGGGCTTTCCTGAAAGTTTCTTCACCCTTAAAAGGGGAACCATGGAAGGAATGAGCCCTGCTATCCCTTTCTGAAATTTGAAATTGTTGTTTGACCATGTGAGTTTCTGCAGCAGTTTGTCTGACAATGAGGAGGCAAGCCTGCGGGTGAAGATGAGCACACTGAGGATGAAAGAGCAGGGGGACAGAAAGAACTTTGTTCTTGTTTGACATTGCTCAGCTCCCAACCTAACCAATTTCTGGAACCTCCCTATCTCTGGATGTCTTGTTGTATGAGATGAAACATTTTCCCTATTTCCTTGTTTGATCTGGCTGAGTCAGGTTTTCTGTTAACTGCAGTCCAAAGCATGATAACTGTTACACGTGGGCAGAGAGAAGACCTATTATTATCATTCAGTCTTCAGTGTGATTTTAGGATTTTAGGCCAATTATTATCTCTTCCAAGGGCGTTTGTATTTTAGGTCCTCTATTAGTGAATGAAATAAATTATCTGTTCTACTACAGGAAATAGAAGCATCAGACTGGAAATAGGGGAATTCCATGGCAGTGATTACACGTGCACGTGTGCACGTGTGTTTGTGTGAGTGTGAGGAAGGGGTGATTCGTAGATGGTCATTAAGGCAGGTCTAGTAGTACTCTCTAGTGCTAAGCATTTTCAAGGATGAATTCTATATCCAGGGCTCAAGAAGAAGTTTATATTCTTAACACACAAAAATTGCTTATAATATGTCATTTAGAAAATAAAAAATAATTCTAGCTGTTAAAAAATGATTTTCCCTTTTGTTTTGGCAGGAAGAATACAGGCAAAATGCATGTTGGAGATTCACACCCTCACCTTCCTGGAAGATAGCATTTTAAGAAATATCTTCATATATCATGGGAATTAAACTGGGTGTCCTATTATATTAATCCAAGGCAGACTGAGAGGGACCACCCACCAATGAGGAGATAAACACGACCCCCCCACAAGAGTGAGGGTGGATGAACAAGACAAGACTGGTGGCAGTTGGTGTGTTTCCCTCAGCCTCAGGCTGGGGAGGAGTGAAAATGCTTGGAAATGCTTGACTCCAAGAGAAGTCTGTGATAGCACAACATAATTTATAAAATAATTAGGCATAGGTTTTGACTGGTATTTTTGGATATATAAGTCTGTCAACTGTCAAAAAAGGAGTATTTTTTCTCATTAGTTTCACTAAGGAACAACATAATTTTCTTATTTATTTATTTATTTATTTATTTATTTATTTAGATGGAGTTTTGTTCTTGTCGCCCAGGCTGAAGTGCAATGGCTCACCACAACCTCCTCCTCCCGGGTTCAAGTGATTCTCCTGCCTCAGCCTCCTCAGTAGATGGGATTACAGGCATGTGCCACCACACCTGGCTAATTTTGTTTTTTGTTTTTTTTTTTTTTTTTTTTTTTTTTTTTTTTTTTTTTAGTAGAGACGGGGTTTCTCCATGTTGGTCAGGCTGGTCTCAAACTCCCAACCTCAGGTGATCCACCCACCTTGGCCTCCCAAAGTCTGGGATTACAGGCATGAGCTGCCGTCCCTGGCCGAACAACCTAATTTTCTAAGAAGTGAACAGCTACCAGTATAGCCGGAAGGTGTACCAGTGGTATTCACACCATGTGTTAGGCAGAGTTGCTTCTATCTTCTGAGTAGTCCAAAGAGATACATCAATTTCATCCAAAGAAACGTGTTGACCCACAGTTGCTTGTAGGCATAGTTGTCAACGGTCGACACACTTTTAGAGAACTTATTTTGTGAGCATGTCATCCCTTTCCCTAACTTCAGTCTAATCCATGGGTAATTTTGAGTTGATCCAAACTGTCCAGAACTATTTCAGGAGTATATTATATATATTACATATATTATATATATATATATTTATATATATAAAGGACCACCTTTAAAAAAGTGTATGCTGGAAATGCTCACACACTGTTGGTGAGCATGTCAATTAGTACAACCTCTATGGAAAACAGGACATAGATTTCTCAAAGAAGTAAAAGTTCATAACCATCATTTGATCCAAAAATCCCATGACTGGGTATCTACCCAAAGAAAAATAAATCATATAAAAAAGATACCTGCACCTATATGTCTATCACAGCACTATTCACAATTGCAAAGATATTGAATCAACCCAAGTGTCCATCAACAGATGACTGAATAAAGAAAATGTGATACACACACACACAAACACACACACACATACACCATGGAATACTACTCATCCATAAAAAATAAAATCATGTCTTTTGCAGCAACATGGATAGAATTAGAGGTCATTATCTTAAGTGAAGTAACTCAAAACTAGAAAGTCAAATACCACATGTTCTCTCTTATAAGCAGGAGCTAAATAATGTGTACACGTGGAAAATGAGAGTGGAATAATAGACACTGAAGACTTAGAAAGGCGGAAGGGTGAGATGGAGACAAGAGACGAGAAATTACTTAAGGGGTCCAATGACACTATTTGGGTGGTAGCTAGGCTAAAAGCACAGACTTCGTTGCAACAAAATATATCCATGTAACAAGATGCATTTGTACCCTCTAAAATCTATAAAAAGAAAAAATAAACTTAAAAAAGAAATGTCTTCCTTGAAGGAACTTGCAGAAGACCTCAAATAGAGACTTATTTCTTTATGAACGCTTTTATTAGGTCGATGCAAAAGTTATTGCGGTTTTGGTCATTACTTTTAATGGCAAAAACTGCAATTTCTTTTGTGGCAACCTAATATTATCTGCAATACTGGGGGTCTCTCTTTGCCCCTTGGACTGGTGCAATTGAATCCCATCCTGAAGTAGAGAGCAGCATGACAAGGGATTTGCAAAACTAGGGGACTGACTTTCTGGAGTTCCTGGAGCTTTTAACATGCCCCAAGTTTTGTTTAAAAAAACTTTAAGATTAACACAGATATATTATAGAATAGCATATAAAATATGCCTGAATTTTGAAAATAAAATATGATACTTCAAAGATGTATCTTGGTCTCAGAAGGCTGGAGTGCTTTTATATCCGGAAATAAGAGCTCATTCTTCTCTTCCATCAGGAGCAGGAAACATTGAAACTGTTGCTTTGGATAATGCAATCCATTAACTCAGTACTGCCACTGTGGGCCTGGATGGATTATCTCTATGAGGCAGTTATGCACCCAGGACTCACTTCTAACTTAAAGTTATTTGCCCACGATACACGTTTTGGTCTTTACATTTTTTTGATTCTTTAATTTTTTGCTCCACTTAAAAAAGTAACATTATATGGATTTCTCTACACTATTTTCTGTAATTGTCTTCCCCATAACTGTCCTCAGATCTATGCCAATGTGTTCCACAACCATCAACAATGTCCTCCAACTACCCACCACCTAAATTAGCTTATTTTTTTCATGTTGGAAAGCAATTTCTTTTCTTGGTCATGGAGGCTTGTAACATGCTAGGTACTGTGCTATCTGCTTAACGTTCTGTATCTCACCAAATACTCATAACCAATTTGTGAAGCAGATACTCACAAATGTATTTCAGAAAACAGAGCTAGTGAGTGGTAGATGAATAATCTGAGCCCAAGTTTTTCCAAACCTGATGCCTGTGCCTGGTGATGTCAGCTGGGGTTAGGCGAGCAGAAGGGAAGTGTGGTCAAAAGGAAAAAGAATTAGTTTATTTACTGTGGTGAAGATAAAGAAACAAGTCAAATTGATTTACATCCGATAAATTCAACAAACTAATGTAATGTATCACTTTTAACAAGATGACTGAAGTGCCATGTGAAGTTGACTGATTTTTGCCATGAAAATAGAACTAAAATGTGCTTGTACACAAAGTGCAAATGTCAAGGGGCAGTTACAATGGGGCTCTTTGGTTCAGTGTGAAATTCCATTCCATTTGAGTTCATGGCAACTTCAGAATAAGTGACTTGAGCTAAGTCAACTGGATACTATGTTAGAGAAACCCAAATAATAGGAATATCAGAATATTAAAGCAACAGACAGTTTAAGGCTTCCATTGCTCAGTAGTAATAATGACAAGGTGACATGTGGACAATGTGGACATTTCCTAACCAATTTTGGAAGACTGTTGCTCTTGGCATTTCTTCTTCTTTCTTTCTCTTTCTTTCTTTCTTTCTTTCTTTCTTTCTTTCTTTCTTTCTTTCTTTCTTTCTTTCTTTCTTTTTCTTCTTCTTCTTCTTCTTCTTCTTCTTCTTCTTCTTCTTCTTCTTCTTCTTTTCTTCTTCTTCTTCTTTTCTTCTTCTTCTTCTTCTCCTTCTTCTTCTCCTTCTTCTTCTTCTTCTTCTTCTTCTTCTTCTTCTTCTTCTTCTTCCTCTTCCTCTTCCCCTTCCCCTTCTCCTTCTCCTCCTTCTCCTTCTTCTTCCTCTTCTTCTTCTTCCTCTTCTTCTTTCTCTTCTTCTTCCTCCTCCTCCTTCTTCTTCTTCGTCTTCTTCTTCTTCCTCTTCTTCTTTCTCTTCTTCTTCTGCCTCCTCCTCCTTCTCCTCCTCCTCCTCCTCTCCTCTTCCTCCTCCTCCTTATTCTCCTTCTCCTTCTCCTTCCTTCTCTTCTTCTTTTTTTTTTTTAACACAGAGTTTTGCTCTTGTTACCCACGCTGGAGTCCAGTGGTGCAATCTCGGCTCACCACAACCTCTGCCTCCCGGGTTCAAGCGATTCTCCTGACTCAGCCTCCAGAGTAACTGGGATTACAGGCATGCTCCACAACTCCAAGCTAATTTTGTATTTTTAGTAGAGATAGAGTGTCTTTATGTTGGTCAGGCTAGTCTCGAACTCCTGACCTCAGGTGATCCACCTGCCTTGGCCTCCCAAGACATTTATTCTTTAATATTCTAAGTGTTTTGTATAAATTCATATATTAGGTCTAAATGACAAGATCCTGTAATGATATGTACTAATAGTGTTGGTCCTAATGTTGTCAAATCTAAACTGAATGTGATATTTCTTAAGGCTTTAATGGGCACTATGCACTGTAAGGGATACTAAAAGCACAAGGCATCATCTCAACTTCTCTACATTAAGCACATTAGTTAGGGGTACACACAGTGGTGCATGCATATGTCTGTGTGTGTACCCAGAAGAGTATTCCCAGCTTAGGGAAGTTCGAGGGGGCATTCCCAGAGCTTCCACTAAGTAGAAGAAGCTGCAGTCTGTTTACATCTATAAGATTTTCACAGGTAAGATGTCATAGTAAGAGAATTAGCTATATAATCATGTGTTAAATTGTATACTATGGTCACCAAATTAATGGAAAATAATCCACTATCATTGAGAGTTCTATGGAGATGAAAACTGAAGTGGACTTCATAGGATAGACAAACTTCCAATGTTATTCCAAATAGTAATAATCATAATGGTAATAATAATAAAAGTAAAGTAGCTAACTTTTTTTTGATACCTGCAATGTACCAGGGACTATCCTAAGTACTTTATCTGTACTAACTCATTTACAAAAATCCTCTGATGTACAAGACTGAGTTTTAGTAATTTGTCTACAGTTGCAGAGATAACACCAACCCATCCTGTGAATCATATCTACTCAGATCTGATTCTTTTTTTAACTTGCATGAAAATTCCTTGAACCTGTATAATTGTTTTTTAATCTAAAAATAGACCATATATGTAGGTATTTTTCACAGTTAGATAAGGGAACTATACATAAACTCCTTTTGGTTAGCTCAGCCTGGGAAAAGTTTTTTTTTTTTTTTAATGGTGAAAAACTTTGAGATTGAAAATATTTGATTCATAGGCTACTTTAAATACCCCGTATCAAAATATTTCAGGATTACTTGTAGCGCATTTTAGGAATAAAAATAATACTACAAATATGACCACTTCTACTCTTTCCACAAGTTCTCTTAACACTGCTAATCTTCCTGTAATTTCTGCACTAGGGAAATACAAATAAATCCACAGTGAATTTCCTCTGGGGTTTCTGTCTCTCTTCACTTCCCCCATGCAAGGTCAAGAGACTAATTCTGAATCTCGCTCCTTTATCTGACCCCAGTGGTAAAGTAAACAGTGGAAAAAGTTTTTAAATATATGAAATCCTGTTCCTATAATAGAGGGCGTCTTTAAGAAAAAAAGCAGATTCTTTAACTCTGAAGTTTGTAATGAAAAAGGACCAGTTTTACAGTAGTATCATCTTGAATAACAGGCAATAAGCCTAACTGAATTACAGTCATTACAGTTTGGAAAAGGAACCCTGAGTAACGTATTTCACCAAACGCTACGCAATTTACTCTGAGTCTATTTAGACTTGACGTATAGACTTACGTCAATTACTATGAGTCTTTAGCAGCTCACAGCCTCCCATTGAGGAAAGGGTAATGTTGATTCTGGAAATGGAGGCTTGTTCTGGTTAAGCAACTATTGAATTAGTCTTTGGTGACATATGTTAATGCAAAATAGCTATCAGTAGACATTTTAATGAATGTGTGGAACAAGGTGTAGTTTACCGCAGAAGTTTCTCTTTATCAGGGATTTTGTCGAGCAGTGGAAACACATTTTACTGTATCCTCTTTTATCCTGATAGAAACACACTAAGCAAAATGAGAACAATTAATGAGAACCCTGGGTGTGCAAGAACCTTTCTCTCAGAAATTAGAAAACATTTATGAAACCTAGTGAAACAGAATGCTCCAAAGAGAATAAAGTCAAAGAATTTTACAAATTGAAAATGCAAATGTACCAAGGGAAAAAGTTCAAAAACATCTCCCCAGCATCATTGAATAGATTACAGTTTATATATTCTGTTAAGAAGAAATAATTGGTTATGAAAATATTCAAACAACTGGTCAATACACAAAGATCAAACTATTTGTGGGTTAAATTCTTGAATTAATCAGAGAAATGAAACTGATTTTATTGGCTATAATGATGTTGTTTATATTGGAATATTAAGAGAGCATTTTAGTATATGTGATCTCATTTAATATATGTATATAGCCATATAAAAACAGTAATATAAGTTCTACAGTAAAAAACCTGATATATAGAAAGCGCCATTTGCCCAAGCTCCTGGCTCTTCCTTTGTCAACTTCCATAAACCCACTGGTGGGACCCTGATGGCCCCTTTAGCCATGAGGCCAGGGTTGATTGGAGGTGACTCTTCTTGTGTCACAGTAATGTGAGATTGTAAAGCAAACAAACAACAACACATGTTTACTCTAAAATTTGGTAGTTTGTTCATCATGGAGGTCTTACTTTAATTATTATTTTTAAAATATATTGCATTTACATAGTTCCTAACTGGATTACTGAGTATTTTTGGTAATAAATTGCATGCCCCTAGCAAGTGCCTCGCTTACATCCTCTGAACCCTGGCCCTGCCACCTTCCATCCCAAGTCAGAGATAGTCTGCTTTTGGAAATGTCTGAAATCTTCAGTATCAATCAAATTTTTAAAAATAAGGAGGAGGGAGAGGAGAAAAGGAGGGAGAGAAGGAGCAGGAGGAGAAGTGGTGGGAATTTTCAAGGGTTGTATTACTATAAAACTCACTGAAACTAATTTACACTCCCACCAACAGTGTGAAAGCATTCCTATTTCTCCACATCCACTCCAGCATCTGTTGTTTCCTGACTTTCTAATGATTGCCATTCTAACTGGCATGAGGTGGTATCTCACTGTGGTTTTCATTTGCATTTCTCAATCCCGTTACTGGGTATATACCCAAAGGATTATAAATCATTCTACAATAAAGTCACATGCACCCGTATGTTTATTGAAGCACTGTTCACAATAGCAAAGTCTTGGAACCAACCCAGATGCCCATCAATGATAGACTGGATAAAGAAAATATGGCACATATACACCATGGAATACTATGCAGCCATGAAAAAGGATGAGTTCATGTCCTTTGCAGGGACATGGATGTAACGGGAAACCATCATTCTCAACAAAGTAACACAAGCAGAGAAACCAAACACCATATGTTCTCACTCATAAGTGGGAGTTGAACAATGAGAACACATGGACACAGGGAAGGGAATATCACACACCAGGGCATGTCAGGAGGTGAGGGGCTGGGGGAGAGATAGCATTAGGATAAATACCTAATGTAAATGATGAGTTGATGGGTGCAGGAAACCACCATGGCACGTGTATATGTATGTAACAAACCTGCACGTTGTGCACATGTACCCCAGTACTTAAAGGAAAACAAGCAAACAAACAAAACCCAAAAAACTCGCTGAAAGCAAGTAGAGCTTTCATGTAGGGAACTCAGAGATGTAACTGTATCCTCCAAATAGCATTGGCAGGACAGGATTTAAATCAGTGTTTCTAAGGTGTCTTGAATGCAATGCATTTCTAAAACAAAATTATACTCCAAGGAAAGGTGGCACATGTGCCCTGTAGAATCAGACATAACTAAAAGCCTTGGCGATGCTTTTCGACTGTGACCTGGAAACGTCAGTCCCACAGCATAAGCTCTGTACAACTCTTGATGAGGAATCAGAACAAGTAGATGTTACCTACATTCAACTGTGCCTGTACAGATTAGGCCACAGAGACAACCAAGAATAAAGATTTAAAAGTTATGCTTCTCATAATCAGCAAAAGATTCTTATTAAACTTAAATTGTGCAATGCAAGGTTTTAAGTGTTTTAACAAGTAAGTGCTATCCAGTCTCTCCTGGTGACCCCCAAATCAGAGAGACAGGCACCTAGCTGACAAAAATATAACATCTCAATGATTGGCCTAAAAACAAACAAACCGACAAAAAGCCTAATGAATGTGGAGTTAAACAAACAAAAATCATGTGTATGACATACACATAGTGACCATTGCAAGTACTGAATTTTTGGGAAAGAGTTCAGTTTTCAAATTTCATGTCTCATTGCCTCTGTAGTTAACCTCTGTAGACCAATCCAACACACCAATGTATATAAAAAATAACATCGTATTGACAAGGTCAGCATTACCTACCTGCTGTATTTTAAGGTGTTATAAGAAGGATACTCTTCCTCTCAAAGTAACTGTTCCTACATTCCTCATCTCTAAAATGGTCAATATGGCAATGCTTTCACGTCAGGGATGCGAGGATTAAACTTATGCCTAACTGTGGTAGGCAGTCACTACACACCAAACATCTTGTGCCGGCAGTCGAATGCTTCCATCTCTAAGAAGATCATAAACGTACTTAGTTTTGGAGAAAAATGAATTGCCAAAAACATTGAGCCTGGATAAAACAACGTTGAAAATTATTATTATTTTAACTTTTTATTTATTTATTTTTAGAGATGGGGTCTTGCTAAGTTGCCCACGCTGCAGTGCAGTGGCACAATCTCAGCTCACTGCAGCCTTGAATTCCCGAGCACAAATGATCCTCCCACCTCTGTCTCCTGAGTAGCTGGGACTGCAGGTGCATGTCGTCATGCCCAGCTCATTTTCTACTTTATTTTGTTATAGAGATGAGGTCTCACTATTTTGCCCAGGCTGGTCTTGAGCTCCTAGGTTCAAGTGATCTTCCTGCCTCAGCCTCCCAAAGTGCTGGGATTCCAGTCATGAGCCAGTGGTGCCTGGCTCAAATAACTTTTGATGAAACTGAAAACAATTCTTGTGTCCTCAAAATCCCGTAAGTTGGAAGTATGAGGAAAAAGCTGATCAGCCTTCAGAGAGGGCATGTTCTTCAGTGCTCACTTCGTATATGGCCAAGTTGAAATGGACGAGAAGGGAGCTCCCATACAGTGGAGCCTGGGAAACAGCAAGGAACATAATTGAGGCACTTTTTGAACCCTCAGAGCAGGAGGCCTTACAATGTTCTTCCAGCAGTATCTCAGAATTGCCATGAGCTGTGACTGTGGACCGCAGCTGCCTTCTATCTTCTGCTTTTCCCCTTTCTAAATGGGAGTGTCCATTGTGGTTTTCCTGGCATCATTTCTTCATGGGCTTTCAAGTGTGAGAGTTTGGGGAAAGCATGTTTGTTTTAGTTCATACATTTCCAGCTCAAGAAGAGTCATGTCTAGGTTTGATGAAGACACCATTGAGCAATGTCTAGATTTTGAGCTGGGTGCTGTGAATGGTCAGGATTTGGGGTTATCTCTTTCAGGGAGATGATGGGCATGTTATGCATAGGAAGAAAGGATCAAAGGGTAGTCAAAGGAGCTGAGATAGTAACCAGCCACATGCGGCCCCCATTTCCCACTGCCCTTGTCATCAGAATGAGACATGTGTCTGGGCCTGGCCAATGGAGTGGGAAGGCAAGGAATGACTTTGGAGGCAGTTAAGAGCTGCTGTGACTCCTCCATCTCTCCTGTTCTCTGTGTCACTGACCTTGGTAGCTCCAGATCATGGAGCTACCAGTTGCATGCTGCTATATGCATACTAAATAATTCTTCAAAAATCTTTAACAAGAACACACTTTCTTTTTTCAAAAGTAGAGATGAGGTTTAAACGATAAATACTTCAAGCTGGGAGTGGTGGCTCACGCCTGTAATCCCAGCACTTTGGGAGGCCGAGGCGAGTGGATTACCTGAGGTCAGGAGCTCGAGACCAGTCTGACTAAGATGGTGAAACCCCATCTCTACTATAAACACAAAAATTAGCCAGGCTTGTTGGCAAGAGCCTATAATCCTAACTACTCAGGAGGCTGAGGCAGGAGAATTGCTTGAACCTGGGAGGCAGAGGTTGCAGTGAGCTGAGATCACACAACTGCACTCCAGTACAGCCTGGGCGACAGAGCGAGACTCCGTTTCAGAAAAAAAAAAAAGATAAATACTTCAGTGAAAGGGACCACATGGGCCTAAATTCAAATTGTTCTAATAGTGACAAAGATAGATTATTTTAGATTTCATGTTTTGTTCTCAGAAGGGCAGTGGATATTTGAAAATGAGAAGGAAAAATGAATAGAGGAAAAATCAGAGAAGGAAAAAAAAGGAAAATGAACGGGTTGATGGGGCATTAGCACACATTTTGCCTTTTAACTTGGCTTTGGACTGGCCCAGATTTGGGGTTGAGGGACAAAAAGCCATAAATGGACTTTGTATAATGGGAAAGAACATCTGTAGTAGAAATAAATGTCCTAAATCTAAATAGGGTTATTTTCAAGTAAAATGGTTTCATAAATTGCATACTTTAGTGAAGATCAGAATGTTTGCTTGACTGATCCTATCAAACTATATTAAGAACATAGAGGAAGTTTCCAACATTTTATAGGAAAAAAGAAATAAGCATTACTCCAAAATTAAAATAATTTAGATGCATGTAGGAAAGCAAACAATGATCTCTTTTAGAGAAGAGTGTTTTGGTTTTCACAGGTCTGTAAAAACAGACTTGACAAATGTATAACTTTTGATTCACTTAGGATATGTGAAGTTATTTTAGCATTGTGCATAATAAAAGTTTTAGTTGTATCAAACTGAATATAGTAAAATGCCAAGATATTTCACCAGGATTAAGCTAATCCTTCTCTAACAACAGAAAAAAATAGTTGCCAATAAACTCTATTTTTAACAGCCACTTGAGAGAGACAAGATGAGACTTATGAAAATCCCTTTCAAGAAGTTTTCCAGTACAATAACAGTTTACACCCAACACATACATAAATACATTTCAAAAACTTGGTTTCTGCCAAGTTACAAAGTCTGACTTGTTAGAGTTACATCATGTTTTTAAAGCATGTTTGAAATGAAGCTTGTCATACATCAGACTTCAGTGAATCTTGAAGGATTGTCCTTTTCTTAAGAAACTCAATGGGCTGCATTCCCTTCGAGTTTTTTAGAGAATCATTTCAGTATCACAGTTCCACACATGGAATGAAAAGCAACAATGTGTGCTGCATTTTTTAGAATATATTGTTTTTACTCATTCCAATGTCCTGTGCAATTGAACTCCCTTCCCCCAGCCTTTATAATATTGGAATCGGTATGCAGAAATACAAACCACTATAGAGAAAACACTTTATGAATGTAAACGCTTCAATATGGACTTCCTGCATTATAGTATCAAGGCTAGGTCACGAACCAGCATGGCCACAGTAACAGAATTCAAACCTGGCTTCCAAGATTTGTCTACGGAAAAGAAGATTTAAATCAATGGTATGGGTAGAGGACCAGAGATTAGACAACCCTGAAAGAGCTGGCCCAATAGCTAGATTTATTTTGAAAACCAAGAGACCTATCTAGAAGCAGATTAAAGTTACAATCTATGCATATTTGCTTTGCTAACACTTGTGTAATTTACAAATATGGGCTCCGGATCCAGAATGCTCGGGATCAAATCCCACCCCACCAATCTACAATAGTGTGATCTTGGGGTATGTTTCCAACCCACCATAAGCCTATTTCTTGAAATTTTTGTAATCTCCTCAACATTTCCTTCCTAGAAATGACCACTAACTAATTATATTCTAGGTGTGAATATTCAATTATTGCTTATCGCTCCAATTAAAGTGAAAGCTTAATGATGTTGGTTCTGTCTGTTGACCTCTCCACCATATTATCACTGTCTTTCCCAGTTCCTGGAATTTTGTTGGCCTTCAGTAGAAGATTGTAAAATAAATGGATGAGTAAATGAATAAATGAGATTTTTAGGTATACCCTCTTTCCAGTAGGAATATACCTGACATCAACTTGGGCTGCCAAATGTAGTTTTTCTAAAATGCAATATTTTTGAAATTAAATTATATCTTTTCCTTGCTGAAAATGTCACCCAGTTTGAGTGGGCATTGCTAAGATTTTTTTTTTTAATTATACTTTAAGTTTTAGGGTACATGTGCACAACGTGCAGGTTAGTTACATATGCATACATGTGCCATGTTTGTGTGTTGCACCCATTAACTCATCATTTAACATTAGGTATATCTCCTAATGCTATCCCTCCCTCCTCCCCACACCCCACAACAGGCCCCGGTGTGTGATGTTTCCCTTCCTGTGTCCATGTGTTCTCATTGTTCAATTCCCACCTATGAGTGAGAACATGCAGTGTTCGGTTTTTTTGTCCTTGCAATAGTTTGCTGAGAATGATGGTTGCTACATTGACCAGGCTCGAATTGAACTCCTGAGCTCAAGTGATCTTCCCACGTCAGTCTGGAGGGACTGTAGCTGGGACAACAGCTACACCTGGCTTGCTAAGGTCTGCTTTTATGATTCCTTTTTTTTTGCTTCAGGAGTGAGTAACACCTTTCCGTCCACACATTCTTTCTATTGGCATGTTAATATATATCATCCTCTTACTATCCAATCTTGCTGGCTTAGAGTTAATTTTATCTTTTTAAGGTAATTTTGTAAATTTTTATTGATTCATTAAATTTAAATTTTAAGGTTTGTTTCTCAAATGACATTTCCAATGACTTAAGAGGTAAAAATAGGTGCTTCACTATATCCCCTATGTGCAAACAGTGCTAGCACATCTATCTTTATTACGGCCCTAGATTTATTTGCAGTGAAAAATACAATCACTGATTATAATTGAATAACATGCTATTTTACTAGGGCTTTATGGAATGATGAAGAATGATTCTGAATAATTTAAAATTAGGTTTGTTTTACAAAAAGAGATACAATTTCATGTATCAGGTCATATTTCCTATCAGATATAAGGCAAGTTTTAGAATGCTGTAATTCTGTTTAGTACCATAACTACTAAGACAAAGCTAAATTGAGACTGGTTGAAGTGTTCCAAAGTTAGCAACAACAACAAAACAATAGCTTGACAACATTTTACATTTATTCTTCCTCTTGCATCTCCTTTTCAGCATCTATCTTTCACTTCTTAATTTCAATATCAAATGTCAATCTTAGATTATAAAGTCTATAATGTATGTATATATATACATGTTTCATGATCTCAAAACCTCCTTATACTGGTAGATATTTCTTGATGGCCAACTTCTTTACTAGTAAGCTGATTAGGCAAATGAGATGATTAGAACTCCCTGCATTCTGGTTTATCCTCGCAAGATATTTGTAAGAGATGTGGCCTAAGACTCTTTCATAATGCCTAAATTAGCCATAGTAGTTATCACCCAAAGTTTGTAGTTACTGGGTTTTTAAAACAAATCAGTCTGAAATTACAAAATGATTGTCTTATTTTTGAAGATCTTTGAACTTTCTATAGAAACTCTGTGGTGGAAGAATGTATTTCCTTGACAGTAAAAAAAATTAAAAAAATATGGAGAGAGTCTTTACTTTGATAGTCTTTAAATGATACTAATAGTGCAATTTTCACTTTATTACTGTCAAGCTGGGAGTTCCTCTTTTGTTTATAGCTGAGTGAGCTCCAATTGGATTAACCCTCTCACAGATAATCATATATTCTGGATAAAACATAAAGGGAAAAAAAAGCCTATATGAGGGCATTTGGAAAGAGGCCCAGAGCAGGTGGATCCAGAAGGCAAGCTGACACTAGGCAAAGGGAACAGTGAGGTGTGAGTTTCTTGTTTTTATGGCTTTGAGGCTGCTGGCGGGCCTGTCTAAGACATGCTGTACTGCTGACTCGTTAGAACTCAATGGAAAACTCGTGCACTTTCTGGCTTGAAGAACCAGAGCTGAGTTTGGGGCAATCACAGCTGCTGGAAAGTGAGACAGTAAAGAAGGGAACCCGAGTAGGGAGCCCTGCATTCTATGTACCTTATAGTTTGCTATTATGACTAATAGATGACTCTTATACAAGGAGACACATTGTAATATCCATTGGGAAAAGGTGCTAAACCAAATTAGCACTAGACTGTCAATCAATCTAATTCAACATATATGCCATCCTGATGATTATCCAATAGCATGCGTATACATAGGACTTCATATGCTAACAGAAATACAGCCCTCTATTCTCAAAATACAAATGATGCATATACATTTAAGATTTTTGTAATAGGTTTCCAATTCTGTAACTATAGTTAGTCATTGTCTGTCTGGTAATATCTATTTTGATGGGTATATTTTTAGGGTATGGACATGAAAGTTTGTTGACTAGTAAAACAATGTTGCATATTATTTTAAGAAGAAGATACTTCCTTATTCATCTCTTTTTTGCATCTCTAATATCAATGCATTGATACTGGCTGAGAAACTTCCAGTTTCTATCATAAATTCCCTCATGGGTCTTGAATTGCTTGTTTGTTTGTTTTTATCCGCTACATAACGTGCCCCAAGAATTTGTTAGGTGGCACCTCTTTCTCTGATTGAACTGCTACTCTGATTTCTAATTCAACTTAATTATACTGTTGGTGCAAAAGTAATTGCTGTTTTTGCTATTAATTTGGTGAAAACTGCAATTACACCAACCTAATATTCATTCTTGAAGCTTCTCTGCTTCCTCTGTCAATTTGGAATTTATGCCTGCAGTTTGTAGACAAGTCGACATCCTCTGTCAGACCGCATCCACATGGATCCTAGCCCAATATTGAGTGCAGCAGGGATGTTTAACAATTATTGAATGAATACATGAATCACAATTTAATGTCCTAGAGAAAAGCAGGACAGTGTTAAACAGACTAGAAAGGGAGTGATTTCATGGTTGGAATTTTCTTTGCCAGATCCAGACATCAGACTTAGCTTTACAACCGTCTATCAGAAGCGCCATACAGTATAATATTTCTTTCCTTCTTTTCTTTGGAATACCATTTTCTCTGGCCTGCAGGGAAACAACAATAATAAAAAAAAGGCTTTTCTCCTATTTTGTTAAGTGGGTGACAACAGACACTGAAGGTAGACAGAC
Source organism: Homo sapiens (assembly GCF_000001405.40). Classification (NCBI taxonomy): domain Eukaryota; kingdom Metazoa; phylum Chordata; class Mammalia; order Primates; family Hominidae; genus Homo; species Homo sapiens. Next base: position 8,692,938 of record NC_000010.11, read on the forward strand.
TTGAGGTTAAATTTTGACTCTGCTCCTTATTCATCTGGCCTTGTGCACGTTACCTCTCCTTTCTGAATCTGTCTCCTTCATCTGTAAAGAATGGGTTGCTCTGGGGATTAAACAAGACACAAACAAAAAGTCTGTAGTAAACGAATACATGGTACATAGTAATAATTCTAACTTAGTCTTATTAAGTTTCGCTCTGTGTTGGGCACTTTATACATATTATTTCAGAAAATCCCCGTAGCTGGTAGGTACTATTTTTATGTTCACTTGTGTTACAGATGAAAGAAAACCTAAGACTTAAAGAATGATTTTAACTCTAAATCACTGGGGTTCCCATCCAGACTTCTATAGTGAATTCCAAAGTTTGTTTCCATCTCCTTCTCTATGCTGCTGCTTTAGAAGGTGGTCAGGGGAGAGAAGCACCTACCAACATCACCGTCATCATCATTATATTGTTTAAGTATCTTATTTATGAAATTGTAGACCACCATTTATTTTTATTTTAAAAGGTGACTATAATAACTTCATAGGACTAACAGTTGGGAGATGGTTAAAGTTGCCATTAATCAAAAGTTAGTGAAGATTTCTGTGTTACTATATCTCCTTCATGAAGTCCACAAAACTAAATTTTCACATCACACAAATTAGAGGATTGTTTGGCTTTTCCTCCAGAGAACTGTTTAAACCATTCACTAACTCTATATGAATTTATGTCTCCATGTGTTGTCCATGCCCAAAAGAATATAAATCATTCTATTATAAAGACACATGCATGCATATGTTTATTGCAGCACTATTCACAATAGCAAAGACATGGAATCAACCCAATGCCCATCAATGAGAGACCGGATAAAGAAAGTATATGTGGTACATATACACCATGGAATACTATACAGCCATAAAAAAGAATGAGATCATGTACTTTGCAGGGACATAGATGGAGCTGGAAGCCATTACCCTTAGCAAGCCAACACAGGAACAGAAAACCAAATACTGCATGTTTTCACAGGAGCTAAATGATAAGAACACGTGGGCACACAGAGGAAAACAACATGCACTGGGGCCTTTAAGAGGGTGGAGGGTGGAAGGAGGGGGAGGATCAGGAAAAATAACTAATGGATACTAGGGTTAATACCTGGGTGATGAAATAATCTGTACCAAAAAACCCCCATGACACAAGTTTACCTATGTAACAACCTGCTCTTGTACTCCTGAACTTAAAAGTTAAGAAAGAAAGATGTTTAGAATATGCCTAAATCGATAAGAATACATTTTCACTGGATTTATCATATTCAAAGGATGGGTTTTGTTGTTGTTGTTTGTTTTGTTTTGTTTTTATCTCATCTAAAAAACACACTGTCAAATTCGAGGGGAGTGTTAACTTAAAAACCTTAGGAGTTGGGTCAATCATGTTGACATTTGTGGTCCTGGTTCCAGGAAGTCAGTTTTATCTGACAGATGGGCCAGTCCAATAAAGGGTTGCCCTCACACTTCACCCTTGTTTGGCAAATGCATATAAAAATGGATATCCTGAGAAGTGACATTTTTTTAGAACATTACTGTTCATTGTCTTTAAGGATTGCTTGATAGAAGACAAGCTATGCACTTTAACTCCATCTCCTTGCTCCCAGGCTACATTCATCAATTTTCTCTTTCCATAAAGATGTCTTAGCTGTCTCTTGATCTAATTTATGCTTCTGTTCTTATTTGGCAATTTACTTTCCTGGTTTCACATCCCAAACAAACAAAAACAGCTCTTCTGGGAATCCTTCGCTCTCTTTATTTTATAGTGTTTCTTAAAGTTTGCAACACAGATCTAAATATTTTGTACCTCTTTATCGAATTATCAAATGCCACCTTAATTTCAAACATGCTGTGGTGGGGGTATTTCCTGTTATTAAAAGCTCAGTAAAATTTTGTTTTAGTGTTTTTCATATGTTAAATATAAAAACTGAACATATTAAGGTTAGGAAAAAGGTCTTCAGTAGCTTTGGATTTCTAAAATTAAATGTGACTAACTGAAAATTATAAAAAGGTCAAGATTGGGCTACTGTTTTTCATAACATTGTTTTGAAATACAGAAAGAAGGTTTTGACTGGTTCCTAGGTGGTAGGGTTCTATATCATCCTATTTATGTTTTCCTCTCTCCATCCTTAATTATTAATTTCACAGTACTATTTTATTTTTGTGTAGGCCCAGTTAGGCCAGGGAGACCCAAAAAAATACCATAAAACATTTTTGGGGCTGGGCACGGTGGCTCACGCCTGTAATCCCAGCACTTTGGGAGGCCAAGATGGGTGGATCACTTGAGGTTAGGAGTTTGAGACCAGCCTGACCAACCTGGTGAAACCCTGTCTCAACTAAAAACACAAAAATTAGCCAGGCTTGGTGGCGGGCACCTGTAATCCCAGCTACTTGGGAGGCTGAGGCAGGAGAATCTCTTGAACCTGGGAAGTGAAGGTTGCAGAGAGCTGAGATCATGCCACTGCATTCCAGCCTGGACAACAGAGCGAGACTCCATTTCAGAAAACAAACAAACAAAAACCTTGAATTTTAGTCTTGCAGTTTGCATGTGACATGGCAAATGTGAGAAACTAAGCAGTATTTTGTAATTCTAGTTTTCTAAATTCTACAGCATGAGTTTATTGTAGCATGGCTATATCTAAGTTGTTATTAAGAAGAAAGTGGGTAGATAGATACTTTTCTGTTTCAAATGATGGCAAACAGGAATAAATACACTCGGAGGTTTACCTTTTTGGCATTTTATTTTATTTCGCTATAGAAAAATTATTTCAGACTTTATTTGTTGGATTTAAAATGTTTACCTTGGCTAGACACAGTAGCTCACAGCTGTCATCCCAATACTTTGGGAGGCTGAGGTGGGAGGATTGTTTGAGCTCAGGAGTTCAAGACCATAGCTAGACATCATCTCTATGAATTAAAAAAAAAAAAAATAGCCTGGTGTGGTGGCACATGCCTGTAGTCCCAGCTACTTGGGAGGCTGAGGTGAAAGGACCGCTTGAGCCCAAGAGGTCAAGGCTGCAGTGAGTCATGACCACGCCACTGCACTCCTGTCTGAGTGACAGAGCAAGACCTTGTCTCAAAAATAATAAATGAATAAAATTAAAAATGATAGTAAAATATTTCCCTTTTCATCCTAAGACCAAAGATTGTGGTCTATCTGACACTGTTTGTAGGTAAAAGGAAGTTCTTCCCTCATTCTGAAATTGTGAAGAAAACTAGATCTTCAAGCCCCAAAGACACACAAAGCCATATAATGGGTCAGGTTTTCTAAAATAGTGTAAATATGGTTTCAGAGAACTAGGGCTTGGGAACTTGCACCCTTATTCCCTATTTCCTGGAAAACACACTTTGCCATGACTTGTCGTCCTCGCTAATTTGGGAGCTGCACATCCTTGGCTGCCATTGACTGGTGCAGTAATGGTCAGTTAGAATCATTCCCTAGGATTTTCCAAACAGGACAAACTAGAACCAAAGGAAAGACACACACACACACACACACACACACACACACACACACACACACACACACACACACACACACAGAGAGAGAGAGAGAGAGAAACAGAGAAGAGAGAGAGAGACCATTATTTTCTAGTAGTAGAGCTAAAATGTGTACAATTCCTAGGTTGTTAGTGGCTGTGGTGGATGAACTTTAAGGGGACCCCCACATCCCTGCTTCTGGTGTTCATTTGCATAATCCCTTCACTTTGAGCATGAGCAGAACCTGAGACTTGATTCTAACCTTCACTGGGCATGGCAAAGGAGAAGGATGCCACTCTTGTGATTCCATTAATTATACAAGACTCCATCATGGCCTGGCATTGAGAATCCCCATCCGTCATGGCCTGGCATTGAGAAGCAAGCTTCCATGAATGCAGCGACCACAAGGAAATGAACTCTAGCAGCGACCAGAAGCAGATCCTTCCCCAGCCAAGCCTTTGATAAGGATCAAGCCCTGGTTGACAGCTTCATTGCAGGCATATGAAGTTCCAGGCAGAAGACCCAGATAAGCCAAGCCGTCATTCTAACCCACAGGAACTCAGAGTTTTATTTATAAAAATTGTTTTACGCTGCTTAGTTTGTGGGAATTTGTTACATAGCAGCAGACAACTAATAAGATGGCCCCACGTTTCCTGCTCTGTGGGGAAAGCTGGTTGGCAGGGTTAGACACAGGTTGACATGCAGACAGAACCAAATCAACGTGACTACAGGTGACCTTTTGAGTTTTTAGTTCTAGTTACTCATGAATCTTAGCTGCATCTTTGCTCTCTTTGTAGTTTAACTTTCCAAACCTTCCATGCATTCTATGATAAACCAGTCCCCTTTTTTCCCGAAGTCAATTTTTTTTCAGATCTCTTACCCAAATGAAGCCTAATGTACTCTGTTCACTGAACTACAAAGAATAGTCACAAATAATTAAATCCCATGAAACTTTTCCTTCATTTCCAGGTGAAGGCTGAACCTATGAGATATAAAAATAGCCAGATTAAATGAGAGTGGTTAGATAGTCTTTGGGATGTTTGGAGTCTGAATTTGTTAACCTCCTCTGTGTTTTGGAAAAGCCTAACCATGGAATCGTATAGCCAAAACTGCCAGATGTTTCTAGCTATCTGTGTATCAGACCATACACAGACCATATTTACAAGACTAACTTCATGTTTCATCCTTTAAACGGATGTTTAGATGTTGGGTATAGGCTAAGTTTAAAAGTAACAAGGTCAAAAACGCTGGCTGTACCCATTGTATTTAATTTAATTTCACTTAATTTTATTTATTTTGGCGATTGCCAAATATAAGGCTCATGGAAAGTCTCTTGTAGCCCTTTCTATTTTCAAATTATTCCTCTATATTTGTTTTTTTTCTTTCTTTCTTTCTTTCTTTTTTTTTTTTTGAGATGGAGTCTTGCCCTGTCACCCAGGCTGGAGTGCAGTGGTGTGATCTCGGCTCAGTGCAACCTCCGCCTCCCGGGGTTAAGTGATTCTCCTGCCTCAGCCTCCCGAGTAGCTGGGACTACAGGCATGTGTCACCATGCCCGGCTAAATTTTGTATTTTTAGTAGATATGGTGTTTTGCCATGTTGGCCAGGCTGGTCTCGAACTCCTGACCTCAAGTGACCCGCCTGCTTCGGCCTCCCAAAGTGCTGGGATTACAAGCATGAGTCACCGCACCCGGCCTATTCCTCTATTTTATAAAATTTAATTTGAGCACAACTGACCTCAATCATGAAAATTATTTCATCCCTACCACTGAGTGGTTAGCAATAATCTTGTGGTTAAAAAATTCTGAAATGCTTTTCTCGGTCTCCTCATACACAGTGGATGATGGAAATATTATGAAACACAAAGCCATCATTTCAGCGTGGACCATGAGAATTTAGCTTGATTCTCCAAAATTCCTTAATAACATTATAGGTTTGTAATTTTATGCTTGTTACACCTTTTATTCTTGGACATAATAACATCAGCTCATCTGACCCTTTCTTTTTTCTTTTCTGCTCTTCTAATATCAGAATTCTAGAAGTTGGCCACTCACTGTGATATTGTTTGGTTGTGCTAGTAGCAGTGTTATTCTCAAAAGAAAATTCTGGGTGGGAAAGAAAGGAAATGAGTAAATTTCTTCATTAACTGCATTTTAATGTACATCAGTGATATGTTAACTGATGTTAATGTACATCAGTGATATGTACATAAGACTGGGAAGAGATGGAATGTGGAAGCCTTCTCAATTACACTCTTCTCTTGGTTACAGTTTCTTTTTAATTTTTTTTTTTAATTTCCAACTTTTATTCTAAGTTCAGGGTTACATGTGCAGGATGCGCGGGTTTGTTACGTAGGGAAACGTGCCATGGTGCATTGCTGCACAGATTATCCCACCACCTAGGTATTAAGCCCAGCATCCATTAGCTACTCTTCCTGATGCTCTCCCTCCTCCCACTCCCTACTCTCCTACATTCCCCAGTGTGTGTTGTTCCCCCCAATGTGTCCATGATTTCTCATCATTCAGCTCCCACTTGTAAGTGACAACATGTGATATTTGGTTTTCTGTTCCTGTGTTAATTTGCTAAGGCTAATGGCTTCCAGCTCCATGTGTGTCCCTGCAAAGGACATGATCTTGTTCCTTTTTACGGCGGCAGAGTATTACATGGTATGTATATGTACCAGATTTTCTTTTCCTTTCTTTTTCTTTCTTTTTTTTGATGGAGTTTCTCTCTGTTGCCCAGGCTGGAGTGCAGTGCGCGATCTCAGCTCACTGCAACCTTTACCTCCGGTTCAAGCGATTCTCCTGCCTCAGCCTCCTGAGTAGCTGTGATTACAGGCATAAGCCAAAACACCCAGCTAATTTTTGTATTTTTAGTAGAGACAGGGTTTCGCCGTGTTGGCCAGGTTGGTCTCGAACTCCTGACCTCAAATGATCCACCTGCTTAGGCCTCCCAAAGTGCTGGGATTACAGGCATGAACCACCATGCCTGGTCCCGTCCCACATTTTCTTTATCTAGTCTATCATTGATGGGCATTTAGGTTGATTCCATGTTTTTGCTATTGCGTTATACTTTATTTTATGAAGTTTGTTCTAAAAGGTGATCAGAGAGAGAAATTGTAGGAAGATCATCATTTACTCATTTATCTATTAATTCAGAGATTGTTTACTTAATTATTAACACAGACATATGAACCACATGCTTAATAAATGCTATTTGATGATAAGTGGGGTCTGGAAATATGTAGAAAGATTGAAATTCATTATGCAGATGCTACTGTGCAGATCTTTTCTATTTCTTCATTCAAGAGATGCTTCTCTTTCGAGTGGTGTAAGGCGAGTCTTTATCATGCAGTAGATCAATGAGATCAATAGATGCTTTGACTCATAACACATTTCTTTTTCCTATTACATCATTGCAGACAATTTGTATCCCCATTTTATAGATGTAGGGGTTAAAATATAAAATCACAAAAAAGGTGACCCAGGACAGAACTTCTCAAATTGTGTTCCTTGAATACCATTTTTCTGAAATCTCAGTGGGTGCTCTCAGAACAAAATATTTCATGAGCAAATAAGGTTGGAAAATGCCCTTCATGGAATTTTATAATAAACATGAACATATATTAATGGTTCCGGGCTGGGCACAGTGTCTCACACCTGTAATCCCAGCTCTGTGGGAGGCCAAGGCAGGGGGATCACGAGGTCAAGAGACCAAGACCATCCTGGCCAAGATGGTGAAACCCCGTCTCTACTGAAAATACATAAGTTAGCCAGGTGTGGTGGCGTGCGCCTGTAGTCTCAGCTACTCAGGAGGCTGAGGCAAGAGACTCCTTTGAATCTGGGAGGCGGAGGTTGCAGCGAGCCGAGATCACACCACTGCACTCCAGCCTGGCGATAGAGTAAGATTCCAACTCAAAAAAAGAAAAAAGGTTCTGGGAAGCTGAAATGTATAAAATTAGTCAAGGAAGGATAGAGAAAGCAGAGAAGGTAAGAAGGAATCTACTTGAAAATTAAGTGAGCAAACTTAATTGCACCAAGGTAGACTCTTTCCCAGTATACCCTAATAAATTTTGGCCCGTGCCTGCAAACTTACCCTTCTGTCTCCCTCCACTCCCAAAGCTTTGCTCTGAACAGCAGTATGAGAAGCTAGACCTGGGGTCATTCATCAATAAAACAAATATATACTGAGCCCGTGCTTTGGGCCAATCCGTGTGGTAGGCAGTAGAAGCTTGATGTTGAGTTGGAATGTTCGATACCACCTGCCCTCTATGAGAAGGGATTAGTAGAAAAATAAACAAGCAGTTGCAATGAAATATGATGCAGATCACCATCAGGGAAAAGTAAAGGATATTAACAGAGCACATCAGTGAGGCTAATGGATGGAGGTGGGCATGGAAGACTTCCTGGAAGAGGTGACACATAGCTAAAACCTGAGTGACAGGTTGTTGTTTACCAGATGAAGAAATAGAGGAGAGGTATCTGTTACAAGAGTGACTTTTGCAGCAGAGAAAGGCTGGAGGGAGATTCTTTCACTATGGCTGGAGATGCCACTGAGAGTGTCATTTGTTGAACAGGCCTAGAGTGATTGGTAGGAATCAAATTTTGAAGGGCCTTGGAGGATATTTTCTTATGAGAATTTCTTTTCTGGATTACCAATTAAAGTCCTCCCCATCCCCCACCATAGACTGGAATTATGGACATACGTCATTAATGGATCTATTAGCTTCAGAGAGTTAAGAAAGCAGCAGTGGTATGGAATGCTTCAAAGTGTGCTCTGAGCATTCAGAAGACTCACATCAACTGATTCTATTGAGTGGGATTCAGGAGAATCAAGTTATTTTTAAGTAGTTGCACTTCATCCTAAAACTTTATGAAACTTTTGTTTAGCATCTTTCCACTGAAGCCACTGGTAGATCTCTATGTTACCAAATACCAAGCCAGAGATGCCCACATTTTTGTCCAGCATTTGCTATACTTGAGAGTATTATATGATTGTTCATTTAGCAACAGTCTCTAAATAAGAAAATACTGCAACACATGCTTGATTTTTTTTCAATTAAGTTTAAAATGAATGCAGAAATCTGAGCGCTTACTCCTTTTAAATGGTTTAAATTTAACAATACATTTTGCATTGTGCAATAAAGAAGCAGCTGTAAATGCAATGAATATTTGTTTATGATGTCTTGGTGGTAATTGGGTTTAGCAAGGCATGCAAAGAACCGTTTTCTTCAAATGACTTATTGGAAATGTGAAAGGACAACAAGTTTCCTTTCTACAGGCAAGCTTCCTTTCTTCAACCCCAGCGATGATATTAAGAATAAATTGCAGAACAGATTTAATACCAAGCATAAAAGACCCTTGTCCCGGATGCATGGACATAACTTATAATTACTATACTATTTAAAGTATGCTATTACTATTTGACTTACATTTGCTATAATTACTGGGTATTATTCTTCAAGTAGCTAGGAATAAATGATCATTAACATGATGTCCTGTGTAATTCTGATATATGATAAATGGCACAATTGTATTCTTCCTTTTGGAGGTAAAGTGCTTAGCTTATAATAACAAATTAAGACTTGGGAGGGGTTGGGGGATTGAAGCCTGCTTTCTTAAGAATCACTGAAAATGTTTTGCTGCTTTCATAAAATGCTACTAGTTTATTTATTTTAACATGCTTATTTTGACCATGCTGTGTTTTTCTAGTTAATAATCTTGATCCATCAGAACTGACTTTGTCCCAGCTGTGATTGAACTTTTTTTTTTAATTGCTGTATGAAGACACTCACAGGATGAGACACAATTGTCTTTAATGTTAGAGATTTCACCCGTGACAATGAGGATGACTTTTTTCCAGTGACTGAATTTTCACCTTCCAATCCCAAAGGTCACACAAAGGTAATGTTTTCCTTAAAACATACCTATTAAAGTGACCAGCCTTAACATAAACAAAATCTTTTAAAATGCAGACACCTGAAAAATCCAGGATTTCAATCCTGGCTCCAAAGTTTGAATATGAAAAGGAGAACCAGGCGTAATGAAATTCCTTTGAAGCAGGACTTCTAACCCTAATTTAAAAGCAGTATTCGGATTATTCACATCATGTATTTTCCACAAATGGATCCTCGGCTCAGGTTTTCTTATTTTATTGTAAAAAAAATTCCACTGGCCAATGATAAATCCTAACTCATGAGTTATCTTTTCCAAGTCTCATGTAATATATTTCTAGTCTAGTTTCATGTAATACACTTCTACTGTGTTGACTATTAGGTCATCAGAAGAAAACAAACCCCCAACCTTTCATGAAACAAACTTTCCCCAACAACATTATCACGATGGTAATGCAAACATTCCTTCCATTTTTGTGACAGTTTGACTCAGCTATAAAAGTTTATGAATACATGTTGTTTTCAGATAGGATTTAAATAAATAAGAAAGGAATGGAAACTAATGTGTATTAAATGCCTACTATGTGTTGAGTGTGTTTACAGAAATATCTTAGGTATTAGTCACTTTGTTTTTAAGGAGAGGGTTTTGAAAGCCTAGACTACTTTCTCAGACCTATTTTTTATGTGACTTGTGGTTTTCTGAACTCTGCAAGGCTCTTGCAATCTACCTTGTAAATTCACTGAAGGGCTGTTTGTCTCAAGCTGGAACTGCCCAGACATGATGGACGTGGAGCCATAAAAGCTGGATGGTCAGGCCGAGTGCGGTGACTCATGCCTGTAATCCCAGCACTTTGGGAGGCCGAGGTGGGTGGATCACGAGGTGAGGAGTTCGATACTAGCCTGGCCAACATAGTGAAACCCCGTCTCTACTAAAAATACAAAAATTAGCCAGGTGTTGTGGTGTTTGCCTGTAATCCCAGCTTCTCGGGAGGCTGAGGCAGGAGAATCACTTGAACCCGGGAGGCGGAGGTTGCAGTGAGCTGAGATCGCACCACTGCACTCCAGCCTGGGCGACAAAGTGAGACTCTGTCTCAAAAAGAAAGAAAAAAACTGAATGGTCTGATTCATTGCAGGTTATCTTAGAGACAAAACCTGTGCTTCCAGTTCCCGGATATAAGACCAACTGAACAAGACATGGAATTAACTGAATCTTGTCATTTAAAAGGATTCTGCCTTATTTTTCATAGTACGGGCTTTACTTCCACAAACAGGAACTAAAAATATGGATCCTCTTGGGAGAGCTCTCCAGTGTAAGGAAATATCACAATTATTTTTTTTTCCTGATACTATTTGAAAGAAGGACAGTAAAATATGTGGAGGAGGTTGCCTTAATTCTTATTCTTATTTTATTTCAAAATATTTTTTCCTGATTATAAAAGTCAAACATGCTCATTTTAGAAAGCATAAAGACATATAAAAAAGAAAATAAAGGTTGGACACAATGCTGCCATTAGGAAATAACCACATTCATTTAAGTATAGGTATAAGTACATACTTTAATATTGGAATACTCATATAAATATTTTTAAAATTGGGATCATAATACAAGCAACACTAAAAAAACTACTTTGCTTGTATCCTTCTCAGATTTTTATTCACACTGCAATTAGAAAAGCCCCAAAATTTGACTTGAAAAACTACATAGTCCCAGAGGCAAATTTTTTTTCCTGTACATTACTGTGGATATCTTCCACTGCTATTAAATATATTTGAAAATATGATTTTTCATGGATCCTCAGTATTAAGTTCTACGGCCATAATACAGTTTATTTAAACATCCCTGCATTGTTGAACATTTCACTGGAAACCAATTTTTCATTATTGTAAATAACACCCTCAGAAAGTCTGGGAGGAACGTCCTAGTCTTGCTTACTGCTGTGTCATAGGGTCTAGCACACTTTGCCGTACAGGTATGGTGAGCACTCAATCAAAAGGTTTTGAATAAATAAATAATTATTTTCTTCTGAATGTCTTCCATTTCCTTGGTGAATATTTCTAGAAATGGAATTACCTTGTCAAAGCTTATGAACTTTAAAATAAGGTTCCCTATAGAAACCTGATTTCCTACTTAACATTAGCACCCATGAAAAGAATGGTTTATTTTTCCTGAAGCTTTTTAATAAACAGAAGTATTTACATTGTATATTATGAAGATGGCCTCAAAATCCTCCTACAACACTGGAAACCCTTCTGATCTTCAAATGCTACCTGCCAGACAAAAACCAAATCAATTTTATCTTCTTTTTAAAAATTTTTATTAAATAATTTTTTAAAATTTCTTCTCTTGAACTCCTTAAAACTCTTAGTAATGGTCACTCTATACTTCATTTCCAAGTTATTATTTACTTATGCTATTTAAAAAACATAGTATAGGAAAAAGAAAAAATAATCTTTGTATATGTTTGGATTTTTGGTGTTTTATTATTATTATTATTCTTTTGCCAGTATTTCATGTGGCAATATTTTATCTCTTCAACTAGACCTTAGACTCGTTGAAGACTGGAGATTGTAGTGATTGAGAGCACAGGTTTTAGAGTCCTTCGATATGACTAACAATGGCTCCGTGACTTCATGTGAGTAAGTTAACCCTTAGTTTTCTCATCTGTCAACAGGGCTAATGATACCTCCCTCTCATGACTGTTTTAAGACTCAAATGAGAAAATGTATGCAAGGTGCTTGGCACAGAGTCTGGCATACATGAAGTTGCTCAATAGGTTTTATAACCTTGTGGTTGTCTGAAAGGACATAGACATCATTTTGGAGATTATTGCTTGACTCAATATAATGAAAACATGACCTGCAGGATGGTGTTTACTGCCCTGTCAGAAACAAATGAATGGGAAATGGGAAGAGGACAGTATATTTTCTGGTATTTACATTCTTTCTTCTGGGATGTGCACCATTACAATGACAGACAAATCTAGGATTCTTTTAGGTGTCTCAGTAGTAATCTGTAGCCAGAAAAATGGGAAGACAAGAATAGTTAGTGCCGTCAATTGAGTTCTCAAAGGATCTCTGAATGCACCCCTTGACTCAAAGTTCCTACATGGGAACAACATGGGATTCAGACTGAGATGACCCTTTCATTGGGAGAAAACATCTTGTTGCATTTATCCTGGTGTTTTCCTTAAACCGTTGGTAATACATGCATACTGGTTTTGTAATCTAGTACTATTCATTGCTAAGACCTGTTTACCAAGATCTGTTTTGATGAGACTTTGGCAAAGTTTGATTAGTCATGAGAACCCTGTTTTCCACTCTTTGCATGTGCTGTCAAAGCACACTACTGTTCAAGAACTAGGTCAACTTTAAAGCTCCCTTAGCCTACGTCCCTCTCAGACTTTTATTCTATCCCAATCGTAGAAACCAAACTTACAGCCTAGAAACCCACATAGTCTCATGGGTAAGGAGCTACAATACCTCTGGACCCATTGATTTATCAGTGATATTGGGAGGTGAAAAGGCTTTTTGACAAAATAAAACAAGCAAAAGTTCAAAGAACTTCCGACTTGCTTTTTAATCATAAAGAGACTAATTTTCAGAAAAGGATACAAAAATCTTCAGCACCAAAAAGGATAAAAAACAAAGGGTAGAAAAATGGCAAAAGTATCTAAAGACAAAAATGAACTCAATTTTATCTTCTTTTAAAAAAATTATCTGAATTGATTAAAACAATTCTCTCCTCTTGAACTCCTTAAAACTCTTAGTAATGGTGAAAAGAAAAGAAAAACAGCCAATGTATCTAAAAAGGTATGTTCTTTAAAGTTAGAATGCATATGATAATAAAGATTTTGAGGTCAAATCTTAGATTTTACATTTCTCTATTTTGCTTTATAGCCATAATGAAAAGCTTGAACAAGAAAGGAAGTTTCAACAGGCTTATTTTTTCCTATTAGTTTCAAGTAATTTTTCTCCAGTGGAAAATTCGTGGATGTACAGAAGCCACACATATGTGTCCAATTTTCATGTGTTGGAATCACTGCAAAGACCTCTAGATTTTGAGAGCTGAGGGGTAGCTGAACATTCACTAGAGAAAAACCCAAGTGAATATTTGAGATGCAGCAGTAGGGGTGGCATTCACCTTTCAGCAATATCTGTACTTTCCCTATCCCACCTCTTTTTTTCCCCTTTCTTCTATAAAAGTAGCATGACAAAGGCAAAAGCAAGTTTATTAGGAATAGAGAGTACATTGCATTTGGGAACAATTTTTGCCTAAGGGAAGGGAGTGTAGAATGGCAGGAAGAAACATTTAACCTATTTTTTAAATAGGTAGGTGTGCTGTTGTTCACAAGACTATTTTCCTGAAGGAGAAATCTGTATAGAAAGATAAAACCTCAAAGTTATAGGACAGTTAAACCCATCTTAAAACTTTTGCTACACTATCAGGTGGAAAAGGAAACAGCTTTAGGAGGTAGAACTCAGAACCCTTGGGAGAAGACACGTTTCCTAAATTGATCAGAGGCCTTTTTTATATTTGCAGACTTAGTTATCAAAGGTCTTCTTAAAACAGCAGTGGTAATAGGCACTGTGCAGGGTCACTCATAGGGCCATTTCACAGATGTGCAAATAAAATTAGAACAAATTTTGGTATGGTCTTATTGAGCCTTGTATGCATAGACACTGCCTATAATCTTTCTGTTTATGACCAGATTTAAAATTCTCCAGAATTTTGAATTAGGAGATCAAAAAGTAAAACAAACAAACAAACAAACAAAAACAGGGAAAATTGTTGCAGTATGGTGCATACCACCATGTAGCAGCTACATGGTGAATTGAATCCTGCAGCTCTGAGGGTCCCACTTGGAGGAATTCCATGTTATGTTTCCTCTCCTTTGCCTATTTCCCAGATGATAACATTGAGGCCAAGACGGGCAAAAGTCTGACACCAACAAACAAACAACAAACAAAAAAAAACATAAAACAACTCTTATTAATGACTTGGAATTAACCTGAATTCTCCAAAAACCTGTTTGGTGGTAGATGGTGGGCTATGTTTGAATCTCCTCTCTGCCACTTATCTGTGCAAACTTCAGCAAGTCAGCTAATGCTCCAAGCCTGCTGCCTTTTCTGCAAAATGAAGCTAGGACGTAATGACTCCTTAAAGAGTTGTTTTAAGGAGCAAACGAAATGTACTGCAAATGTGCATGAAGTGCTTACCCTGGTGTCATGTATATAATGGACACTCAAAAAGATGGTGACAATTATGAATATTTCTCTCACCTTTAATTGATTATCTTTAATCAATATAAACAGGCCCTTGGGTTGCAGGTGTCTGAAAACACATTCTCAGTCCTTTGGTGACAATCATTACATTTTTAGAGAACAAGACATCTTTTTTAGAATAGTTAGAAAATCCCATCTTCTGCCACCATTTTTCTAGATTTGAACTTAATGAATTTGCTCAGAGAGGAGCTTAGGTTACAGTTTGTTGGTGGCTCATCATGGATGATGAGATAGGAACGGGTGGATATTGTATGATAACATCATAATGACTGCTATAGCTATTGAGCCTGCCTGCACAATACTTATCAAAAAGACTTGCGTAAATTCAGCATGTATGATCAGAGGACCTGGGCATCACAAAACGTACTCATTGGGGAGCATGTCAATTTGCAAGGAATATTTAGAAAGACTTAACTATGCTAAAATTAAACTTTAAATGATGTTATAATGGTGCAATGAACATTCATGTACATGTGTCTTTATGGTAGAATGATTTATATTCCTCTGGGCATATACTCAGTAATGGGATTGCTGGGTCAAATGGTAGTTCTGCTTTCAGCTCTTTGAGGAATTGCCACACTGCTTTCCACAATGATTGAAATAATTTACACTCCCACCAACAGTGTTCCCTTTTCTCTGCAACCTTGCCAGCATGTTATTTTTTGACTTTCTAATAATGGCAGCAAGCTGGGCATGATGGCTCACACCTATAATCCCAGCACTTTGGGAGGCCGAGGCAGGTGGATCACGAGGACAGGAGTTCAAGGCCAGCCTGGACAAGATGGTGAAACCCCGTCGCTACTAAAAATACAAAAATTAGCAGGGCGTGGTGGCAGGTACCTGTAATCCCAGTTACTCGGGAGGCTGAGGCAGGAGAATGGCTTGAACCTGGGAGGCGGAGGTTGCAGTGAGCCAAGATAGCCCACTGCACTCCAGCCTGGGTGACAGAGCAAGACCCCATCTCAAAAATAAATAAATAATAATAATAATAATAACGGCAGCCATAAAAAAGAATGAGATCATGTCTTTTGTAGGAACATGAATGGAGCTATAGGCTATGTATCCTTAGAAAACTAACACAGGAACAGAAAATCAAATATCACACATTCTCACTTGTGAATGGGAGCTAAATCATGAAAACTCATGAACACAAAGAAAGAAATGACAGACATGGGGTCTGCTTGAGGGTGGAGAGTGGGAGGAGGGAGAGGAGCAGAAAAGATAACGAATGGGTACTAGGCTTAATACCTGGCTGATGAAATAATCTGTACAACAAACCCCCATGACATGAATTTACCTATGTAACAAACCTTCACATGTACCCCTGAACCTAAAATCAAAGTTAAAAAAATTACATTCTTTGGAAATATCACAAATATTGTCTCACACACTTGTCAAAAGGGACACCTGCACAGCCTACTGTGAGAAAGCAGAAAGAGAGGAGCCCCGAGTCCAAGAGACCCAGAACAGCTTCCATTCAGCTTTGGCTCAGTTAGAGACATTGACTAAGAGGCTGGCTCTCACCTTTTAAAATATACTTTCTAACTTTTTTTTTTTTTAGCATTTGCATTTTTCTCAACACTTTCTAATTTTTTGTTTCTTTTTTTAAAATTAATACCTTTACTTTTAAATTTTGGATTCGGGGGGTACGTGTGCTTGTTTGTTACAGGAGTATTACATGCGTGATGGTGAGGATTGAGCTTCTCCTGTACCCATCACCCAAACATTGAACTTCGTATCCATCAGGTAATTTTTCCACCCTCACTTTCCTCCCACCCTTCACTCTAAATTTGTATTTCTTTTGTGAAACATAATAAACACATGTTTTTTAAATTCATGGACTTCGTTATTATTTTTATTTTGTAAAAAGAGACGATTTTTTCATCCTTTTAAAAACATTGAATTAGTTTGCCATTCTTTCCGTATCATCTTTCTCTTAGACTCATTAATCCTTTTAGCTTTGATTATTGAAAACATTCATGAAATTAACATTTTAAGTGGCCATTTTTTACAAGTATCTGTTTAGTTTATAACTGCAAATAAAGCTTGGGGAAAAAATCTTTCTAATAGCTGCTATTATTTTTTACAGGGTAGAATAATGTCACTTGCACTTGTAGTGACATCCATTCAATGGTATTTATTTTCTCTGAGACCATAGATCAGATCAAAGGGAAATTGTCTTTTCTAGGTGTGAGACCTACCATTGCCCATGGGATTAGGTTCAAACTCCATAAAACTGACCAAATCCTGCAAAGCTGTTTATATTCCATCTATACAATTTTATTATACTTATTTACACAAATCTAGATATACCTTCATCTTTCTCTTCCTTCCTTCCTTTTTTTCCCATCTGTTCATCCACTTTTATAGAGAACTGTGCATTCCTTAAAGGAAGGGACTGTGTCCTATGTGATTTCATACCTGAAGAAACAAGCACCATGTCTTGTTCTTGATAGAGACAGAAATCAGGACGTTCTTCATGAATTCTCAGATCCTGACTACCGTGAGCCTACTGGGGGTGGGGAGTAAATAATGTTCCTTTTTACATTCCTAGTGTCTAGTATAGCATCTGACACATATGAGATCCGTAAATTACAACTGAGTTAAATACAAAAGCAAATACGTTCAGTATATGTAGAAATAAAGCATTGAATTTAAGTGTCATAATTACTTTTGATAACTATTTCACTTCTAAGTTTTGCTACACTGTTGGCTTTTCATCTTTGTTTGTTTGTTTGAGACAGGGTACCGTTCTTTCACTTAAGCTGGAGTCCAGTGGTGTGATCACAGCTTACTGCAGCCTCAACCTACTGGGCTCAGGTGATCCTCCTGCCTCAGCCTCCCTAGTAGCTGGGCTGCAGGTGCACAGCACCAGGCCTGACTAATTTTTTCATTTATTGTAGAGACAGGGTCTCACCATGTTGCCCAGGCTGGTCTGGAATTCCTGGGCTCAAGTCATCCTCCTGTGTTGGCCTCCCAAAGCACTGGGATTATAGGCATGAGCCACCACTTCCAGCTGGCTTTTCATCTCTTGGTGGGACAGGAATTAATTAAGATATTCCTAATTTTTCTTTTTCTGGTGATTATATACGGGGATTATTCTGAGTGTGTCTGATGTAATGAAGAGGTTGGTGGATTGAAAGGCACCTATCTAAATGAGTTAATTTCCATGATTGACTTTTGTTGTTATTTGGATACAAGTGAGGAGAATTTTGTATTGGCATCTGGAAAAAAGGTAGAAATAATTATTTTAAAATGGGACACAAACCTGTCCCTTGGGTACTCCCTTTTCAAAAACCAGTTGTCCATGTAAGGATTTATTTCTGGACTCTTCTTCTATTCTATTGACCTATATGTCTATCTTTATGCCAGTACTACAGTATCTTGATTATTGTAGCTTTGTACTAAGTTTTGAAGTAGGGAAGTGTGACTTCCCCAAGTTTGTTCCTTGTTAAGATGCTCGTTTTGTTTTGCTTTGCTATTCTGGGTCTCAAATTTCTATACATGTTTTAGAATCAACTTCTCAATTCCTGTAAAAAAGGCAACTTGAATTTTGAATTTTGATAGTGATTGTGTTGAATCTCCAGATCAATTTGGGGAGTATTGTCATCTCAACAATATGACATCTTCTAATCTATAAGCACAGGATGCTTTTTCATTTATTTAGGTCCTCTCTAAGTTCTTTTGGGATTTTTTTTTTTTTTTTTTGACGGAGTCTCGCTCTGTCACCCAGGCTGGAGCGCAGTGGCGCGGTCTCGGCTCACTGCAAGCTCCACCTCCCGTGTTCACACCATTCTTCTGCCTCAGCCTCCCGAGTAGCTGGGACTCCATCACGCCCGGCTAATTTTTTGTATTTTTAGTAGAGACGGGGTTTCCCCGTGTTAGCCAGGATGGTCTCGATCTCCTGACCTCGTGATCCGCCCGCTTCGGCCTCCCAAAGTGCTGGTATTACAGGCATGAGCCACGGTGCCCGGCTTCTTTTGGGAATTTTTTCAATGTACACATTTTGCTGTTCTTTTGTTAAATTTATTCCTAAGTATTTTATTATTTTTGATGCTCTTATAAATTGAATTGTTTCCTTAATTCCATTTGCAGATTGTTCATTGCCAGTTTATAGAAACGTATTAGATGTTTGTATGTTGATTTTGTATTCTATGACCTTGCTGCACTCGTTTTTTCATTCTAATAGTTTTTGGTGGATTCCTTAGAATTTTCCATATACACAATTATGTC
This sequence comes from Homo sapiens, assembly GCF_000001405.40. Taxonomy (NCBI): domain Eukaryota; kingdom Metazoa; phylum Chordata; class Mammalia; order Primates; family Hominidae; genus Homo; species Homo sapiens. The sequence continues at coordinate 8,711,845 of NC_000010.11, forward strand.
ATATGCAAATAGAGATAGTTTTACTTCTTCCATTCCAACCTACTTGCCTTTCATTTCTTTTTCTTGCCTCATTGCTAGAGATAATTTTGAAAAGTAGATTGAATGTTGAAAAGTATGCTTACTTTGTTCTCTGGAAAAATTGTAAAACTTGTTTATCATTTTTTTTTGAAAAGTAAGACATGCTATCTTAGTTTAAACATCTTCCAGTCCTGAAGAGGATTTTTTTTCATGTGTTTATTGGACATTTGTACCTTTTTAATAAATTTCTTTTTATATTACATATCTATATGTATTATTTCAGTTTCTTGTATTAATTTGTTAGACCTCTTTATATATTAAGAATAATAACCCTTTGGCTGTGAAATAAATTACAAATATATTGCCTTAGTTTGTTTTTATTTCATTTATATTACTTTTGGTATGTAAATGTATTGTATTTCTATGTAATCATACACAGCAGTCTTTTTATCTATGGATCTGTGGTGTGTATCAGGCCTAGGGGTGTTCCCTCCCTCTATCTCTTAAATCATGCAACTATTTACCCATGTTTTTCGTGTCCTTTCGTAAGTGCTCTATTTTTGAGAACATACATTTGAATACCAATACACTAGTTCAGATACTTGAGTCTGTAAGCCTTTATGATAAATTTGTTGGACTTCCATTAAGTAGGAAAAATGAGTTATCTGTTGCCTCTTGAGGTGACACTTCCTGACGCCATCTTGCCCCGTGGCCAATAGCTCAAAAAATTCTCCCAGATGGAGGCTCAGCAGCTTGCCTTGCAGTCAATTTCCTCTGAGAGAACACCACCTTTGCTGACTCCAATCACAAATACAATCCAATTAAAAGCTATTATGTTAATGTGAATAGAGTGGGAGATAAAACAAGACAGCGAAATGTTTCATTTAGGCCCAAATGAGTTGATTTCTCAGGGCATAAAGAATCCCCATTAGGTTGGTTGCCACAGTGACACAAGAAACATGCAAACCAGTCTGCTGATTAAAATCTGGGAAAGTGAGATAAAAGGTTTATCTGTGTGACAAGGGCTGGTTGATGGACTATTAGATGACGCATTTGTATGTTTGCTTTAAAACCTTTTGGCTTCTGTCATGCATTGTCATTGAAAAAACTGCTCTTTTCCGTTGAGTTCTTATAGTGCTTATCCGGAAAACAGAATTGATGTACATTCTTAGGAAAGTGGCAGCATGATTTCTCTGAGCACGTAACATTTTGTGTATTTGATGAAAGTGGCCTGAATTTGGAAGTTATAGCAATCAAAGAAGTTTAATCCTTTCTTAGGATCATTAAATTTAGTGAGCTGGTATGATTTGTGGAGGGTAAAGTCTGCATTGAAGAATGAAAGAAGTAGAGTTTAGAAGGTCACATTTTTTCTCTCTAAATTGTACATCATTGTTATTGGTTTGGAAGAAACATTGGAGTTTTTCATAACTGAGGTCTAATGAAATAAATTCAATCTGATGATATTACTTCTAAGATCATTTATTTTTGGGTCTCTATATAACCCTAATTCTATAAGATTACAGTTTCCGGTAGGTTAATGAAATAGATTTGTCATGCACAGTCTATTTTATTATGTAACATTAAAAAATATTTTCTATTTACTTCCATCTTCTTATGGCTCGTAAGAGTAAGATACACTAAGTGCAGTAGCTGGCATTGGGGAGGGGACTACAGTTGTTTGCCAAAGTCCATGTTTACCTTCCTTCCATTTTTCATAGAAGTACCAGGCACATGGCTGGCCGACTAGAATACATTTCCCAGCGTCCCTTGTGTCAGGTGAGTCCCCATGACTAAGTTCCAGACAGTCAAATGCTAGTGAGAACGAGATGCGCTTCTTCCAGTTCAGACCCAGCCAGGTTTCCCACATCTGGTCCTCCAAGTTCTGTCCCATTCAGTCTGACTGTGCTTTGAGCTCCATCCAAGATGGATGACTTTTTTCTTTCTGAAAAGCACTATGTTTTTATGTCATGGCTCAGCATCAAAGGATCTCATTTTTCTTGTTTTAAAAATATTTGTAATTAAAATGATACTTAAAGTGCAAATGTAATCTTTTTTTTTGTCTTACGACACTTACAAAATGAAATAGTAAGTCATGGATCTCACTTCCACATTAATGCCATGTCAACTCTTACAAAAAATAAGTATTTTCAACATAATTTGTAGAAACAACCATAACAGTCACAGATGTATTCCTTAATTCAACAAATATTTATTGAGTACTTATCATATAGCAGGCCCTGTTCTAGGCACTATAGCTGAAATATTGACCAGGGCAGATACATTCCCTGAAATTGGGATTTTCATCGTATTGGGAGAGAAAAATAATACTGAAGTTAGAAAAAATATCAGATAGTAACATAGGCTCCTAAGAAATGTAAATAGGGTAAAATGATGGTGACTATATTAGATTAGGAGGTCAAGGAAGAACTTTCTGAGAAAGAGGTATATAAATTAGGACCCGAATAATGAAAAGGAAACAATCTTGTAAAGATTATTGGGCAGGTCTCTCAAGTAGAAAGAAGAGCTAGTGCCGTGATCTGAAGAAAAGAATAGTCTTGCTTATTCAGCAGCAAGCAAGCAAGCCTCATAAAAGACAAGAAAACACGGCAGAAGATGAGGTTCGAGGTATAAGTAGGGACCAGTTCATGGTAACCTATGATCAGGAGTTTGGATTGTATGATTTCCATGATGGGCTTTACAAGTCTTGAATTAGCAGGGTGATATGATCCGTTTTAGGCTTTGAAAAGATCTAGCTTGCGCTGGGGAGAATGTTTGCGAGGCAGGGAGGCATACAGAATGATTACCTTGAAGGCTTTGGAGTCTGCCAAATTTTGGGTTGAATTCTACTTTACTTGAGTAACTCTGATCAGGTGATTAAGATGTTTAAGTCTCAGTTTTATCACTAAAACAAATACAGCAATTTCCCAGATAGGTCATTGGAAGAATGAAATGAGTTACTTTATGCATACTATTTAGCATGATGATTGGTTGATAGCAAATATTCAATAAACGGTGACTGAAATTACGTCTGTGAGCATAAAATTATAAACTAGAATTTTAAATAAATGAAATAGGTTTATTTGAAAAATATTATTAGCATTGTCTTTTTATTTTTTTAATTGATTGGACTAGGAAAATATGGGGATAGTGTTGAGAAAGGGAAATTTTAAAAAATGAGAAAAAATTAACTTTCTTTTTTTCAAAAAAGACAGGATAAAAAACAACTTTTAAAAAGTAATTTTTAATATAATAGAGTGAAGAGGAAAAAATACAAATGAGAAAGGCTACTAACTATGCTGAAATAATCAAGTGACTATTGAGTGTTTACTGTGATACCAGCCATGATACCAGCCATAAAGCATTTAGATGCTAAATGCTTCATCTACATTATTTCATTGAATACTTACAACCATACTGTGAAATAAGTCTCATTATGTTGATTATGTTCATATTACAAATGAGAAAATAGAAGAGCATTTAGTGACTTGTCCTAAAGTTAATAAGTGGCTGGGATTGGATTCAAACTCAGATACCTGGTTTCACATCATTCTACTTCTTCTTTCTAATTTGAATGTCTGTTATTTTTCTTTCTTACCTAATTGTTCTGGCCAGGACATCCGGTACTATGTTATGTGGAAGTGGTAAGCATGGGCAACTTTGTCTTGTTCTTGACCTTAAGGGAAAAGCTTTCAACTTCTACTGTTGAGTATGATGTTCTCATACACAACCTTTATTATATACAACATTTATTCTCATATACAACCTTTATTATATTGAGGTACTTTCTTTCTATACAAAATTTACTGAGAATTTTTATCATGAAACAAGGTCAACTTCTGTCAAATGCTTCATCTGCATTTATTGAGATGATTATATGATTTTTATCCTTCATTCTGTTAATGTGCCATATCACATTTATTAATTTACTTATGTTGAACCATCCTTTTATCCTAAGGATAAATGCTACTTGATCATGTTGTATAATCCTTTTACGTACTGTTGAATTCAGTTTGCTTATGTTTTGTTGAGATTTTTTTGCATCTATGTTCATCAAGGATATTGGTCAGTAGTTTTCTTTTCTTGTAGTGTCTTTGTCTGCTTCGGTATCAGGGTAATGCTGGCCTTGTAAAATGAGTTTGGAAGTGTTCTCTAACTTTTCGGAAGAGTTTGAAAAGGATTGGTGTTAGTTCTTTTTTTAAATGCTTGGTCATCTGGTTCTGGGCTTTTTGTTGTTGTTTTTGGAAGATTTTTAATGACTGTTTCAATCTTCTTCCTAGTTATAGGTCTATTCAGATTTTCTATTTCTTCATGATTCAATCTTATTAGCTTGTACATGTCTAGGAATTTATACATTTCTTCCAGGTCATCTAATTTGTTGAGGTACAATTGTTCATAGTAGTTTATTATGATCCTTCGCATTTCTGTGATATCAGTTGTAATGTCTCTTTCACTTATATATGTTTGTCGTGTGTGTGTGTGTGTGTGTGTGTGTGTGTGTGTGTATGTGTGTGTTTGTGTGTGAGAGACAGGGTCATGCTCTGTCACCCAGGCTGAAATGCAGTGGTGCAATCATAGCTCACTGCAACCTTGAACTCCTGGGCTTAAGCAATTCTCCTGCCTCAGCCTCCCAAGTAGCTGGGACTACAGTCAAATAACACCATACCTGGTTAGTTTTAACATTTTTTTTTTTTTTTTTTTTGTGGAGACAAGATGTCGCTATGTTGCCCAGGCCAGTCTCAAACTTCTGGCCTCAAGCTATCCTCCAACCTCAGCCTCCCAAAGTACTGGGATGATAAACCTGAGCCATTGTACCCAGCCAGTCTTTTCTCTTTTTTTCTTAGTCTAGCTAAAGGTTTAGCAATTTTATTTTTTTTTTAAAAATCAACTCATAGTTTTGCTGATCTTCATTACTGATTTTCTCATCTCTATTTTATTTATTTCTGTTCTGATCTTTGTTACTTCCTTTTTCTGCTAACTTTGGGCTTAAGTTTTTCTTCTTCTACTAGTTCCTTAAGGTGCAGAGTTGGGTTGTTTATTTGATATAATTTTTTCCTAATGTAGGCATTTATTTTATAAAGTTTTCTCTTAGAGCTGATTAGCTGGATTCATGTTTTGGTATGTTGTGTTTCCATTTTTGTCTTACATTTTGTAATTTCTCTTTTATTTTTTGACCCATTGGTTGTTCAGGAGAGTGTTGCTTAAGTTACGCTATTTGTGATTTTTCTGTTTTTCCTCTTATTATTAATTTCTAGTGTCATACTATTGGGGTAAAAAATATTTGATATAATTTCAATTTTCTTAAATTTGTTAAGACTCCTTTTGTGACCTAACATATGATCTACACTAGAGAATGTTCAATGTGTGGTTAAGAAGAATATGTATTCTGTTGCTGTAGGACGGAATGTTCTGTGTATGTCTATTAGGTCCATTTTGCTTAAAGTGTAGTTCAAGTTTAATATTTCTTTATTGATTATCTCATTGGATGATCTATCTATTACCAAAAGTGAGATATTGAAGCCCCCTACTATTATTGCATTGTTGTCTGTTTTTGCCTTCATGTCTGTTAATATTTGGTTAATATATTTAGGTCCTCTGGTTTTGGGTGCATATATGATTATTATATCCTCCAGATAAATTGACCCCTTTATCTTAATATAATGACCTTTTTTTTCTTGTTATGGTTTTTGACTTAAAGTCTATTGTGTCTGATATAAGTGCAGTTATCCCAACTCTCTCTGGTTTCCATTTGCATAGAATTCCTTATTCCACAGTTTTATTTTTAGCCTATGTGTATCCTTAAAGCTGAAGCAAGTCTCTTGTAGACAGCACATAGTTGGGCTTTAAAAACTACTACTAATAAAATATACATATTGCATTGATATTTGCTTATTTTGTGTGTGTGTGTGTGTGTGTGTGTACATATATGGAGAGAGAGAGAGTCTCTCAGCACACAGCAACCTCTGCCTCACAGGTTCAAGCAATTCTCCTGCCTCAGCCTCCTGAGTAGCTGGGATTACAGGCATGGGCCACCACACTCGTCTAATTTTTTCTATTTTTGGTAGAGTAGGTGTTTCACCATGTTGGCCAGGCTGGTCTTGAACTCCTGACCTCAAGTGATCCACCCACCTTGGCTTCCCAAAGTGCTGGGATTACAGGCATGAGCCACCACACAAGGCCTAAAAAAATAATATCTCTTAGGTCATTCTATGCCTTTTGATTAGAGATTTGATAATTTACATTTAAAGTAATTATTAATAGGTAGGATCTTACTATTGCCATCTTGTTAATTGTTTTCTGCCTGCCTTGGAGTTATTTTGTTCCCCTTCTCCTCTCTGGCTGTTTTTCTTTGTGAATTGATTATTCACTGTTGTATACTTTGATTCCTTTCTTTTATCTTTTATGTATCTACTGCAGGTTTTAGCCTTTTGATTACCATCAGGTCTACATAAGGCCTAGTTATAACAGTCTATTTTAAACTGATAATAACTCAACTTTGATCATGTACAAAAACTCTACCCTTTTACTTCCCCCTGACTCAGATTATGTCTTCGATGTCACAGTGTACATCTTTTTATGGTATATTATGTATTCATTAAGAAATTAGTGTAACTATAGATACTTTGCATACTTTTGTACTTTAACCTTTAACCTAGATCTAAGTGACATACACATTATCAACACATATTAGAATATTCTGAACTTGACTTTATACTTTCCTTTACCCATGAGTTTTATACTTTTATATATTTTTGTGTTACTAGTGGACATCCTTTTATTTCAGCTTGAAACTGAACTTCCTTTATCATTTATTGTAAGGCAGGTTTAATGATAGTGAACTTCATTAGCTTTTGTTTGTCTGGGGAAGTTTTTCCTCTCCTTCAATTCTGAATGACAGTTTTGCTGAGCAAAGTATTTTGGTTGGCAGTTTCTTTCCTTTCAGTAGTTTGAATATATTATCCTACTCTCTCCTGGTTTACAAGTTTTCTCACTGTGTCATGGGGGTTCTCTTGTATGAGATGAGTTTTTTTTCCCTTGCTACCTTCAAAATTCTCTTTTTATCTATGATTTTTGACAGTTTAATTATAATGTGTCTTACTAAAGTCCTTGGGGTTGAGTCTGTATGGGGACCTACGAGCTTCATGAACCTGGATGTCCATATCTATATCCAGATTTAGGAAGTTTTCAGCCATCACTTCTTTAACAAAATTTGTGACCCTTTTCTCTCTCTTTTCCTTCTTCAACTCCCAAAATGTAAATATTGTTTGCTTTATGGTATACGATAATTCATGTAGCCTCTCTTCACTCTTTTTCATTCTGGTTTTTTTTTTTCTCTTCTAACTGGGTAACTTCACATGGCAAATCTTCAAGTTTAGATTCTTTCCTCTACTTGATCAAGTCTGCTGCTCTCTATTGCATTTTTTATTTCATCCAATATATTCTTCAGCTCAAGAATTTTTTTTTATATTCTATTTTTCTGTTGAACTTCTCATTTTGTTCATGTATTGTTTTCCTGGTTTCAGTGACTTATCTGTCCGTACTATCTTACAGCTTACTGGGCTTCTTTAAGATACTTATTTTGAATTCTTTGTCTGGCAATTTATAAATCTCCATTGTTTGAAACTGGTCATTGGAAAGTTATTGTGTTCTTCTGGCTACGTCATATTTTCTTGATGTCTCCCTTCTGGTAGCCTTGCATTGATATTTGCATATTTGATTGAGTGCACCTTTCCAAGTGTTATGAACTGGCTTTGTTGGAGAAAGTCCACCTGAGGGTGGGTGCAAGGGCACTAGCAGAGTGAGGTGTGGCAGTTCTAGGTCTGGGAAGGGCCTGTGGCAAACTCCCTGTGCATCTTTGTCAGCTGAGATCAGAATTGGTGAAGATTGCAAGGGTTTTCAACAAACAAGGCTGTGGGCATCCACAGCAGCAGTAAGGGATCTTCAAAGACAAAGGCTGCTAGGGACTCCCTAATGTCTTTTTCTTCCACAGGGGATGTCATGTCTGAAGGAATCTTTCTTGATATCCGGTCTAGCTTGTAGGTTTCCTTATTGCAAGGGTGGCACTGTTTGACTGTTTGAGCTGCTGGCACCTGTGCAGTAGCCACAGAGCCAGGTTTGGAGCACAGGTGTGCATGGAGCCAGGGTCTGAAGTGCAGGTACACACGAAAGAGCCACAGTTCTGAAGTCAGGGACATGTGTGGGGTTGGGGGGGGTGACATCCCTCATCCCAGGGCAGTGTAACAGTAGCTCATTCTGGGGGAGCAAGGAGTAGCATTATCTCCTTCTCCTTGGAGTCTGTGGTAGCAATGGCTGCTGTTTACCCAGTAGTGAAAGGCGCCAGGGCCCCCTGCGGAGTAAGCTGCTGGTGTTTGTTACCCAAATTCTGCATTTTACTTACATTTGATGATACCTACTAACTTTTGCTAATATTTTAATCGCACACTTTCTACTTTGTTTTGATAGCACACTGTTAATGCAAAGTGGTAATCATCCCTAATAAGGGGCCACTGCTGGAAAATGCAGAACAAGGCAGAGGAGGCCCTAGCATGGATCCAACCTATGGAGAACTGTCAGAACATTTGTGCTCAGCTTCCTTGGTATATTGGCTAGCAGTGTTTGACATGAGGCATTTAGTGTGGGAGCCGGCCAAAGACATATTTAGTGAGAAATACTGACCGCCAGAATAAAGCTCATGGAATAGTTCTGGTTTAGATTTCAGTAAAAATGCACTCATTCAAAACTATTTGCTGAACAAGAAATATTACAATGAATTTTTCTAGACATTCTATAGCAATACATTAAATAAGATATGCTAGGTACAACGTCGTTGCACTGAAGTTGCTGAAAATCAGGTAAAGAAAATATTCATACCACTAGATGGAATTTCAAAGGATCTTAAGAGCTGTATGAAAAAGAGCTAAAGAGGCTTGGAAAAACAAGAGGTCCCATCCAGTTGAGCATGATGGTTGGTGTATGTGTAAATAATTATTTTTAAGTTGAACTTTTGTTTTTCAGAGATGGAGTCTCATTGTGTGGCACAGGCTGAACTCAAATTTATGTGATCGTCCTGCCTCAGCCTCCTGAGTAGCCAAGGCTACAGCTTCATGCCACTGTGCCTGGCTGGAAATAAATGTTTGAAAATGCATGCTCCAAGGATGTTCTCAAGAGAATACACAAAGGTAAAGAGGGACTCCAGGCATACATACTTTTTTCCTTTTATCCCCACTGCATTGCCCAAACCTGAGAAAACACCTTTCTAAAGCCTCTGTCTTGTTAAAACCTAGCCTCTTGAGTGTGGTCTAAAACAGTGGAATATTTCATTCTGTACTTGCAAAGAAAAATGTAACCAGGAAATATGTAACTCTGCACATTTTAATATTTACTTACTGTAGTATATAGTTAATATTTATTATTCATAATATCAGTGTACATTGTGTAAGCTTTATTCTAGGGTGTAGGTGACTACTATGTACCCGTGGTGATAGTTTCTTAGCAGAGCGCTGTGGTACTAGCACACTGGGCTGGTTACTGATAGATCTTGGGACACTGTTCCTGTTTCAGAACCACATGCAAAGCCTGCTTTGTAAAGTCCTAAAATAATGTGAGCTAGGTGAAAGTACAGCTGCCTTTGACTCTGCTAATCACATAATAACAGGACATAGTCAGTTTTAAGGGTAGAATGTCATACTTGTGAATTGCTTCACAAAAGGCCAATTGTCTCTTTTGGGATTTGGGCCACTGTTTTAAGAAGTTTGCCTCGATGTGCATTCTAACTGCCCAGCCACAGACTGCTAATCCCACTCCACCACTGAAAGAAGACCCAGTTTAATAATTTGTATCAAAATGGGAAAGGATCACAGGCCTGTAGGTTTTTATGTGGCTCACCTCCTGCCAAAGGGATGGGAATTTATGGATTTCCTGAAAGAAGCTGGGCGTGGAAAGAAAGAAGAGAAGGCCCCAAACTGCCAACTAAGAAGTGTCGCAATATATTTGATGACAGTGCAGAGGAAAATAAAACACAAGGCACGTGGAGAAGGAAACCTAAACAGTCCAAAATTTCCACTGAGTGTTCAGGGCAAGGAGCAAACAGCTAAGAGCCATAATAGGGTGATACATACCATATGATTGAAGAGGATGAGCTACTCTTTGCCCCAGTCACCTAACTTTGGCTTCACTCCTAGAACTTGCTTAGGGTATCTCTTACAGAGTAGCTGTACTCTATCGAGTATCTATTATAATCATAGAATATTAGATCTGGAAGAGGCATTGGAGATCACCTGGTGACAAAGAGTCGGCAAGGCCTTGTGTGAATGCAATCTGTCCCCTGTCTCTTTCTATGCATGAGTAATTTTGGAAGAATTCCAGGATTATTCTAGAGCTCCAGGCAACCCGAGGATGTCTCTTGCACCCTCACAGACCTCTTGCTTGTTCTTTTTTCTTTCCTTTTTTTTTATATGTAACTTTTATTTTAAGTTCAGGGGTACATGTGCAGGTTTGTTATATAGGTAGAGTTGTGTCATGGAGGTTGGTTGTACAGATTATTTCATCACCCAGGTATTAAGCCTGGTACCCATTAATTATTTTTCCCAATCCTCTCCCTCTTCTCAGCCTCCACCCTCTGGTAGGCCCCAGTGTGTGTTGTTCCCCTCTATGTGTCCATGTGTTCCCATCATTTAGCTCCCAGTTATAAGTGAGGACATGTGGTATCTGGTTTTCTGTTCCTGTGTTAGTTTACTAAGGATAATGGCCTCCAGCTCTGTATTAGTCTGTTCTCACATTGCTATGAATAAATACCTGAGACTGGGTAATTTATGAAAAGGAAAGGGGTTTAACTGACTTAAAGTTCCATATGAATGGAGAGGCCTCAGGAAATTTACAATCATGGCAGAAGGCAAAGAAGAAGCAGGCACCTTCTTCATAGGGCAGAAGGACGGAGTGAGTGCAAGCAGGGGAAATGCCAGATGCTTATAAAACCACCATATCTCATGAGAATCACTCATTATCATGAGAACAGCATGGGGGAAACTGCTCCCATGATCCAGTTACCTCCACCTGGTCACACCCTTGACATATGGGGATTACAAGTCAAGATGAGATTTTGGGTGTGGACATAGCCAAACCATACCGAGCTCCATGCATGTTCTACCAAAGGATATCAGCTTATTCTTTTTCATGGCTGCATAGTATTCCATCATTTTTTTTTTTCGAGTTCTCACTCTGCTGTCCAGGCTGGAGTGCAGTGGCACCATCATGGCTCACTGCATCCTCGACTTTCCAGACTCAAGTGATCCTCCCACCTCAGCCTCCTGAGTAGCTGGGCCACAGACGTGCACCATCAAGCCCAGCTAATTTTTGTATTTTTTGTAGAGACAGGGTTTCACCATGTTGTCCAGGCAGCTCTCAAATTCCTGGGCTAAAGTGCTCCTCCTGCTTCAGCCTCCCAAAGTGCTGGGATTCCAGGTGTGAGCCCCTGTCCCCAGCTCCCATGCTTGTTCTGATCTACTGCTACTATGAATGAGAGAGTCTCTGTGGGACATTTTCCTTCTCCAACAGGAGAAGGATATTTCCTTACCCCAAATATCCTTCCAGGAATTGAGGCACAACTGACCTCATCATTCTCTCAAACCTTTTGGGAGGCCTAATATCTGTTCTTTTTGAATCGAGACCCTTTTGAAGGTGGGGGTAGATCAAAGAACTTTCTCAGGCACTTAACCAGAATGCTCCTTGCTTCCCAGCAGAATTCTCTTTCTTCCCAGACCATGGAATAGTTAACCTGTCTAGGGCAAAAAAGAACTGGCTCTTCTATCATCAAATATATGTCTCACATCTATTATTTATTATATAAATTTCAAGGTTTTACACTAAAGTAAAACTCAGGATTTTGTGATTCAAAATATTTATTCTCAAATTATTGCTCTTGCCATATGTTTTTTAAAGCCCAGTTTGAAATTTGAGAACTCAGAATTGACACTTTTTCTGCCTCTGCCTGAGGCAGAGAGTCCAGGGTGGCTTGACCAAAATGTGGAGACCAGAATACGTGGGTTCACATTTCAAAATCTTATTGGCCACCAGAATACGTGGGTTCACATTTCAAAATCTTATTGGCCACAATTTATTGCATTGTACACATGTTAAGAGTAGGCTCAATGGGTGTTCTATCTGGAGGAATATGCGATGGACAAGATCTTTGGCCAAACCATAATTCCAGAAATGGAGTGGATGAGCCAGGCCCTGCTGATGGTGGACCCAGTGGACTCCAGGAACCTAGTCGAAATCACTGTTTTTGGATGACCCTGTGTACAGAATTGGGTAAAGAGCTTGCTCCCATGCCTGGCATGGTTTCACCAAAAACATCATGCCTGAACTGTGAAGAAAAAACACCTTGAGAAGAATGTGAAGGCCTGTGCTTCAGGCCCCCATGCTCCCCAGCATCTTTTTGCTTAAGACAATATAACTATTGTCAGGAAGAGTTTGAGAACTTTCCTGCTTTTGCTGCTGAAGTTGAAGAGAAGCAAGTACAGCATTCCTAAATCGCTGCTTTCCTTTTTCCTGTGTCTTGATGGATAGTGGTTTATTTTTTTGCAAGAGAGTTTAAAGAACTAATAAAGAAATGACTATTTTGTCCAATGGTATAAAGATCTTTGCACACTAAAAATTAGGCAAATTTATAAAAGATTAAAAAAAGAGTAGACTAAATGGACTAATTTCTCCATAAAGAATGTAATGGCTCCAGCTAGTAAAGGGATGCTAACTGGAAGGAATTAGGCCTGAGACTGAACAAATATTTGCCTGCTTCCAAAATATTCTTAATTCTTCTCAGCCCCATATTCACCCTGGATTTATCTTCTGGTGTATGCAACAAATCACTACGTTAGCAGATTATATGATATAGTTTGGATCTGTGTCCCCACCCAAATCTCATGTCGAATTGTAATCCCCAATGTTGGAGGGGTGCCTGGTGAGAGATGATTGGATCTTGGGGGTGGATTTCTCATGAATGGCCTAACATCATCCCCTTGGTGCTGTTCTCATGATAGTGAGTGAGTTATCCTGAGATCTGGTTGTTTGAAAGTGTGTAGCACCTGCACTCTCTCTCTCTATTATTCCTGCCATGTAAGATGAATCTACTCCCCCTTGGCCTTCTCCCATGGTTGTAAGTTTCTTGAAGCTTCCCCAGAAACTAAGCAGATGCTGGCACCATGCTTCCTGTATAGCTTGTGGAATTGTGAGCCAGTTAAACCTCTTTTCTTTATAAATTATCCTATCTCAGGTGTTTCTTTATAGCAATGCAAAAATGGACTAATACATTATATAATAAAAAATGTATTATCTCACAGTTTTCACTGGTCAAGAGTCTGGGTACAGCTTAGCTCGGTCCCCTCCCCAGGGTCCTACAAGTGTGAAAGCAGAATGTCAGCCTGGGCTGTGGTCTGATAGGAACTTTTGAGCTCACTTTCAAGCCCACAGGTTGCTGGTAAAATTCAGTTTCTTGCTTGTCGGACTAAGGCCCTCAGCTCGCCCATCAGACCCTACCTCTGGCCCTGTCCGCATATGGCAACTTGCTTCTGCAAGGCCAGCTTCTCTGCTGTTTCAGGTCTCTCTGGCTTTTTCGATCTCTGGCTGCTAGACTGTCTTTTAAAGAGATCTCCTGATTAGGTCAGGCCCACCCAGGATCGTTTCCCTTTTAATGAACTTAAAGTCAATTGGTCAAGGACTTTAATTATATTAAACTATCCTCTTACCCTTGCCATTGAACTACTCAGTCATGGAGGTGATGCCTCACCAGATTCACAGGTCCTGCCCACATGCAAAGTGACGAGAGGCAGAAATCTCGAAGGCTGTCTTAGAATTCGGTTTTCCACACCTTCCCAGGTCTCATCCTTGCTGGTGGCATTTTAACCTCATACTTTGTCCTCATCTCAACATTCACCCCACCCATGGCTCAGCAGAAGCCTCTGCTTGAGGACATTCTTCCTTTGAAGACACAAACATGAGCTGATTCTATTCTTGGTCTTGAGTTTTCTTTATTTTTGAGAATTGTTATAAAAACAGAGTTTCACTACGTTTGGGGACTCCTGTTTTTTAGAACAAAGAAGAGATTATAATTAGCTAAATGCCTAACCTGGACTTCAAAAGGGAAGAGGGGACCATATATTATTTGAGTTTATGCACACCAAAGGCTAAAGCAATTTTGCACATGATCTTGTCTTACTTCGCATGTTGGGCTAGTTGTCATTACTTTTTACCTTTATTTGTTTATTTTCCATTGCACAATGACTCAGCAAGTGAGAATACTGTCAGAATGTCAGCCTGTGCCACATTTGGAGGTCAGACTCTTGACATTATGGAAAGTTCATGACCGCTTCTCAGCAAATTTCCCAGAAGAAACCTTCTGAACTCCTGCTCCTCATTCTTGAGAAATGTAAATGTTTTGTAAAATAGTTTTAGATTGTGTCATGGTTGTCAATGGCTCATAAAATTCATCCAGGATGGCTATTTTATAACATTCTCCGCTTCACCTGTTTCTGACTAAAATGGTTTGGGATGGTGTCACTGAGAAACCTGATATCCCTTAAAGCTGGGAAAACAATACATTCTCCTAGACTGGAGTGTGTGAGTAAATGAGATGAACTTTAAATTTCTTCTGGAACCTAAAGCTGTATCTAGAATTATGCTGTTGCAGATACAAAACTGTTTATGTCCTGAAAGAAATTATGATTGTGTCATGGTACTAAAGAAGCTGGTGTGAAAGATACCAGCCAGTGGCCTGTTTGGGTATTTTATTTATTTAGTATCAAGTGCCTAAATATTGCAAAATATCCTTATCTGCTTCTGCATCTATATCTGTATCTGTTGCCAACCTAAAATGTCTTACAGAGAAAGCATCGTCTGAGTGGCTTGGGTTGCAGTTTGAAAGACAATTAGCAGTTTCTTTGGAGCCAAGAAGATTTCAAAGAAAATAATGGCTCCTAATACTCACATGTGGTCTCCCACACATATTTTTTCCTTTATCAGCTAAGTACACGATCACTGCCAGTGAAAATGCTCTTTGCTGCCAAGGTAAGTTCAACGAATGTCGCTACTCTGCTCATTCTTTCCTTTGAGATTGTAACCGTGGTGAAATATATAAAGACAACATCTATTAATCCTCCAGCAGTAAAATTAGTCAATTACCTACTTTCAAGATTAATAGGTTTCCTTTTTTCAACGGGGAAGAACTTGGATTTTGTGACTGTGTGGCTGACATGGCAGCTCAATAAGTTGGCAACAAAAATACTCGCCTTATGAACAAGATATGTCTGTCTTTATTAGTATTAACTAGAATGGTAGCCTTGACAATACCTAAAACCTGGACTAATGTCTAGACATCGCTCTCATGACCAGGCATAGCATGCAAATTTCTCGCCATTAAAATTATTTACATGAATTTAAAAAGATCTCTAAGCTTCTCTCTAATACCTATAAGGGGTGTCGGAACAGTATCCTTCCAAATATTACATTATATTTATCTATGTCTTTAAATTAACAAACATTTTTATTATTATTAAAGCAATGCACACTCAAGATAAAATTTTCAAATAGTAAGATGCAAAAAAAAAATATTCACTACTTCTCAAATTCCTCTGTTCCACTACCCAGAAGCAGTCACGGTTAACTGTGTTTCTTTGCAGAAATAAAGGTCTCTCTAGCTCTCTCTCTCTCCTTTCTTTCTCTCTCTGTCTCACACACACACACACATGCACTGCACTCACATAAATAGTATCATATGTTTACAAGTCAAAACTCATCAGATAAGTTGTCCCTATTCATCACTCCTTTGAATGTTTCACTAAAATTAAATAGACTTATTTAAATTCCAGGACTTCTCAATTTCATCCTGGTAAAGAATATATATTCATTCAGTACAAAAATTCAGGATCATCTGAGGTTATATCCATCAAGTTGAGATATTCCAAAGCACAGTTTAAAACCTCAAAATTAAATCATGTATACAGTTTATCCCTCAACACTTAATCATGTCTGTTTACAAATATTGTTATCAATAATTTTAGTTTGCTAAAATCTAAATTGTAAATTTTTTTTGTTGCTTGATTTGCTTAAAGTTCTCCAACTGATTTGGAATAAAATGTAACCAAAATTTAGATGAGTAATTTATGAAAAGTTCAATACAATTATAGAACACTTAGGTTGATTTATGAAGTGATTCTTAAAAGACTCAAACATTTTGAGAATCCTATAGTGATGGCAGCAATAAAGATCAAGGATTTACTGCCATGCTAAACTCTGTGTGTGTGTGTGTGTGTGTGTGTGTGTGTGTGTGTGTGTGTTCAACAACAGCTTCAACAGAAAAAAAGTTTTATTATTGCGTAATTTTGTAAAAGCCTTTGTAAATTTTAAGAAATATGGCTTACATTTCATTTGGTAGAATATCATTGATATTGTTAATTTAGTAGGAACATAACTTTTAAAATTACAGATTTCTTAATTTAGTAAGGACATTACTTTTATCATATTATACTTCACCAAAGTTATTTGCTCTTTAGCTTTGAACTTTTCAACTGAAATTATAATGACATTTATAACAGTATGAAATGTTTTGCCACAAACAATATAACTTCCATCTATAAACGTCTAGAAAAAATGAACTAATTTTCAAATTAACTGACTTTTATTTGAACAACTTACGATGCTGGTATACCAGTTTTATTGTTTAAGTTCTTTTTCTTTGCAAGCGGATCCAAAGTATTAATAGTTACCACTTTTGTACATGTCCAAGAAAACGTGGAATTCAAAATGAGCACAATTAATTTGGAAAAAGTTATCTGATCTAAATGAAAAGTCATGCTTCTCAGAGGGGTATAAAGGCTTACTTCCTGAAAGAGCACATATGAAGCCTCTGTCTTAAACACAGTCTTTCCCACCTAACTTCCAACAGTTGAAATACCTGTTGGTGCTTCTTCAGAGTGGTGTCTTCTGTGTTTCCCATAACCATTTTATAGTGATATTACTGTGGCGATAAGAAGATGGTAGGTACTTTGAATCATTTTGTGCCAATTACACATGTATCATCAACTTCTTTTGATAGATAGAAATTCAGTCATTCATTTTTCATGAAATATGCTCTTTCATATTTTGAACCCATTACTGCCCAAAGGGTTTATTGCAAAATATACAAGTATAGTCAAACAATAAAGCGAATCAATAATAATAGATCTACACATGGTATTATCTGAGATGATGGCAGAAGTTGGAAGTATAAAGTAGAGATCTAGCTAATCTACCCTGACTAATTGTATTTCCACTAATATTACAAATACATTGGAAATGAAAACATCTGAGACAAATGCTAAGCCATTCAGGATTCCAGGACAACAGCCATGACCCAGGACTGCCCTAGGCAAACTGAAATGCATGGTTACTATACCTACAGTGGACGCCTATTGGTTTGTCTCCTGCTGATCTGTTTTCTTATGTTAGTAATAGTGCCTTAATTTCTTTTTCAGGGAGCTGTACTTTTTCAGTCTAAGCTCATGTGTTTTAGGTCATGGTAAATGTACTCAATGACTTCAGGGACAGGTACATAATCCAGGAGAGAGCCAATTAGAAATGCTGAATCTCTTAACCTCAAAGATTGGTTCAAAAATAGGAATGTGACCAAGGCCAGGTCAATCCATGCCCTCTGATAGGGAAGTGGTTGGCTGCGACTACCAAAAATGGAGCACTGCCTTCTTCTGGGAATGCAGGTGCCAAGCAACACGGACGCCTAGGACTTCAGATGGCTGTGTTTGTAGCTCAGTGGGAACAGCCTGCCCAAGAATAAAACCCAAGCAGAGAAAAGTAGAAGCTGAGAGATGTAGGACTAAAAGGAATAAAATAAAATCCCCGAATCCAAGAATTGCTGAAAACAATGTTTCTTTTGATTCTCCTAGTTACAGGAGACAATAAATTTTACTACTACCCATTTCAAAGCTAGTTTAAATTGTATTTTCACCACTTAAAACCAAACCAACAGAAGCCAGTCTGATATAAAGCTAAGAGTGGCTATACTGATGTCATCCACACAACAATAACCAGGTAATTTAGTTTGTATTTATGGAAAAACTACCCGGTTCTCATAGGCAGGAAGAGTTGGGAGGGGGAGACTCTGTGTGTCTGGGGAGGAGTAAATGGGAGAGATGTTAAATTTGATTATGGGATAGCACCTTGAGTCAGAGGATGGGTAGGCAATAAAACTTATTTTTTTCATTATGGTGATTTGTATCCTAAAAGAATGGCTTAATAATAGAGTACCAATTGTTTAAACTGAGAATGGGTTATTTTTGAAACATAAATTAAAGACAAATAAACAGCTAAAAGATATCCATCCCCCCCCCCCCCACCAAAGGAAAAAACAATGTACTCAATAACAATGAAAAAAAATGGAGGAGGTATTAGAGGTTTTCAATTAAGATGTGCCTAGGTTAATACAGATGTTAACGCAGTTGTGTTTTTTAAACCTGAACAACAGGGATAGTGAAGAGTGGGCTTGACTTCTTGAGAATATTCTTTTAGAGAATGAAAGAAAAAAGCATAAGAGAACTTCCTTGTGGGTGAAGAGCAACTGTCCCCTTTAAAAGGCTTATGAAAGTAAACTATAACAATGATAGATATTTTAAAACTTCTATTATTTTATTTCTGTGATACTTTAAATAAGGAAATGTTGGGAGCAATATAATTCCTGAATGAAGAAAAATCATTCAATAAATTATAGTACCTCCCTAGACTAAAATACTAAAACTCTTTTTTTAAGGAGAAAAATTAATGACACAGCAAATGTATATAATACAATGTTAAATTAAAATAATTAGGTCCAAAATATGTAAATATGTTTGATTTTCATAAGAAATAATTATTAGTAAGTTTAGAGTCCACCTCTGAAAGGTGAGATACTTGGTGGTTTTTCTGTCCTAATTATAATTTTTCTATATTTCATATTTTCTACAATAATAGCAAAAATAAATTTTTAAAAATAAATCAAAAAAAAAAAAAAAAACTCATGAACTCCAATTCTTAAATGTCTCCCAGGAAGACTATTTAATTATCTTCTTCTGAGTTCATTCCAAATGTCTTATAATATTTCTAATCTGGTGAGAAGGAGGCAAAAAGAAATTCAGAATATCTTTAAATGCAAGACGAGGTGGCATATCGAGACCATGATGAGGATTAATCAAACTATAAATGGCTACAACGGGAGTTATGGAGCCCCTGGTTGCCTGCCTTGTGGGGTTCAGGGACCAGCAGCAGTGGGCTCACCTAGGAGCCTGTTAGAAATGATGAAACCGGTCCCAACTCAGACCTACCAAATGAGAATCTGCATTTTAACAAGAGCCCCAAGCGATGTGTAAAACATACATTTGGAGACCACTGATGTAGAACTTTGGGTTGTAGGAATTTTAGTCGGCCTGTTTTATGCTGCCCTGGGGGTTGTATTGTTAGGACAGGCACTGTAAGTCACAGCTATTTTATTTTTCTGTAGCCATCCGTGGAAGATTAAAAACAAGTGCAGGTAATCGTTTCTCAACTCTTTTCTACGTTGAGTTATTCTCGATTGAATGTTCATAATTTCAGATGATTCAGCTTGGAATGTTACCAGAGAAGAATCTCGCTTGTCATTTAATGTCTTCATTCCAAACAGGTGTTTTCTCTGTTTAGTTCTGCTACGCAAAATCAAGAACTTCTCGTAAGGGAAAACACAGTGACAAAACTCATTGCAAAATTAGCTTGCTTCCAAGCTACCATGCTGCTTAATCTCACAGGCTGGAATTCCAGCAATGCTGTCTTCATGATTTTGTTAGTATTAGAAGCATACCTTTGTTTTGTTTTGCTTTGCTTCATTTTTGCCCCATCCTGAACACAAAGTTGGGTTACACTGGCAGTTGTCACAATAGCTCATTACACCCCTATTTGGCCAAGGATATGGGTTAAGGAATAAATCAGAGTCTTGATGGTTCAGTTCGTGCCACTCCTGGCTATTAGACGTGTGTCACTGAGCAAAGTTCCAATCAAAGCCGGTGGGGAGGCAGCGAGGGGTCACAGAGCATGCCTGTGCCTAATTGCCGGGCGGCTGACTAAAGGAAGTTTGTAATAAAAGGCCGTTAACTACCGGCCTTTCCAATCAGTGAAGCAAGAATACTAAGAAATTATGTTTAGCAACTAACAATTTGAAGGAAAAGCCTTAATGTAAATTTTTTTTCATTCTCCACCCCTCATCCTAAAAAGAAACAAACAAACAAAACAAACAAACAAAAACACAACCAATCAAACAGCCAAAAACCCCATAGAACATACAGTCAGTTTAATCTTAAATCAGTTAGTATAGAATTCACAAAATCTACCTTTTACAGGGTAAAGGATAGGGAGGTTTCTTTCTGAACATTAAAATGTTCTTCCCTAAAGAAACTTGTATAACCCACCCAATTTCTTTTAAATATGAATTTGTGAAGGAAGATTATTACCATATTTATTTAAAAATGTACTTGTTATAGAAGAAATTAATTCTGTAAATCAAGCCTAATTAACCATTATATAACATATAAAATATCTCTTCAGTAGATTTCCTGGGCACTTTCTCATCAAGTCTTCTCTGTATTGATATCCTTTCTACTTTTCTATCTCCCCCAACCCAAAACTGTTGGGAGAAAAAGATTGAATGTTGGTTTTAGACACAGTGGTATCTGAGGTTATTATTCTTAACTGCTAGGTCACTTGATGTTGTAGCTATGAACCTCAGCTCCATTAGTACACAGCTGGGCTGGAGCTGACCAGCCGTGGACAGAGAAAGGCCAGCTCTTGTGGCAGCCTCGTGAAATGCTGGCTGTCATTTTACCCTTTGACATAAGTGAATAACTGTTCAAAGTTTGATGGACTTCTGGCTAATCTTATTTATTAACCAAATTGTAGTTGTTATTTTCCTTTCAGAGTTTATTAGGGAATTCTAATAGTATTTATAGCACCCTTTTCCTAAAAGCAACAGCAAAACAATTCAAAGGCACATACATAGGAAGTTTTGTTTTCAATTTTGGGGCTTCAAGCGTCTGACCTCCTAAATGTGTTCTGTGAGCTGTTATGTGTTCATGAACCACAGATAAACAACCTCTCGTTGTTAAAACAATTAGAGGGAAGGAAGACTAAGATGTGGGACCCTGGGACAAATATCTACAGACATATTTTTCTGCTCATATAGCTCCATTGTTAATAAAATGTTTTTTAAAAATATAATAAGCCTGGGAATGGTGGCTCACGCCTCTAATACCACCACTTTGGGAGGCCAAGGCAGGTGGATCACCTGAGGTCAGGAGTTTGAGACAATCCTGGCCAACACGGTGAAACCCCGTCTGTACTAAAAACACAGAAATTAGCTGGGTTTGGTGGTGTGTGCTTGTAATCCCAGCTACTAGGGAGGCTGAGGCAGGAGAATCGCTTGAACCTGGGAGGAAGAGGTTGCCCTGAACCGAGATTGCACCATTGCACTCCAGTCAGCACTTAACCCCAATCACCACAGCACTTTCACATGGTTACAATTACCAGCGTATAACAATCTTGAAAAAACATTGCTTTAGCTGAAATCTTAGTTTGATTTCACAGAGGCAATTTGTAACAGGACAATTAAACAATGACATCTGTGCCCTAAAAGTCAAAGCATTGTTTAGTAGTGAAAGCAGTTTGACACAGGTACATACACAATATGCTGTATAACTGAAGGCACGTCTTAATTCCTTTCTGCATTAATTTATTTTTTTGTTTTGAGCACTTAACCCAGCAGCACAGTCTGGTGGACGCGCTAGGAGGGTCTTCTCTTATTGGGAAAGAAGCTTGCATTCCTACCATGGGGGACTCTGTCAAAGGCGAAGAACTCTATCTGATGAATATATTTACAGAATTATCACTACACAGACATATAAAGAGTAATGTATATAATCGCTTCAAAATAAGTTCTTACTAGAATCCAATTAAACTAACCTTGCTGGTACCTCTTCTCCCACCTTGCTTTCAACTTTCCTTGCCCTTCTATTCCCATCTCAATTTAGAAAGAAAAAAAAAACACAATAAAGGAAGAATAAATAAGAAAATAATCTTTGGCCTGTGGGGATATTTTATCCATCTCTTCTAAGGGATGGACTTTTATGCAGAGAGAGAATCTTTGGCAGTTGCTTATAGAATATGCATGTCTTGAAGACAGTAACTATATTTTTCACTTGAAGAGAATAATCATAGATATATGTTGAAGAATAATGTAAAATAATTTCTTGGTGTAACAACTACAACAAATGCTTACATAGCACTAAGAGTCACATACTTTTCTAAATGCTTTACATATATAGTGCAACCAATGCAAAATTGTGGATTAGCCCTTGAAATATAGAGGGTTATGTTAGGAGAAGAGAGTTTCTAATGAGAAGACCAGTTCTAGCAAGGCTGTGTGATCAGGCCAAAGATTTTAAACTTCATCAAATTCTGGAATTATTATTATTATTATTATTTCTTTTTTTGAGATGGAGTCTCACTCTGTTGCCCAGGCTGGAGTGCAGTGGTGCAATCTTGGCTCACTGTAACCTCCTCTGCCTCCTGGGCTCAAGCGATTCTCCTGACTCAGCTTCCCGAGTAGCTGGGACTACAAGCGCCTGCCACCACGCCCGGCTAATTTTTTGTATTTTTTGTAGAGACACGGTTTCACCGTGTTAGCTAAGATGGTCTTGATCTCCTGACCGCGTGATCTGCCCGCCTCAGCCTCCCAAAGTGTTGGGATTATAGGCGTGAGCCAGCGCACCCAGACTCTGGAATTATTCTAACTAGAGCAGTGATTTGACAGTATGCCCTTTGGAAATAGCTCCCTGGCTGCTCTGTGGGAGGCACTGGGTCTGGAGGTAGGGAGAAGACTGTGTGTGTGGAAGGAGGCTGAAGGAATTCAGGTGGAAGAGGGGAGATATAGATGACTGGGGGTGAGATGTGTACATATGTGGGTATTTAGGGGGAAATTCAGGACAGATGTCATGTTTTTGGCAAGTATAACTGGGCAAAAGCCAGTTACCTACAGAGGTGAGATGGATGGTGAAATGACCGAGGCTGGCAGGGCAGGACTCTGGTAACTGAAGAATCCCTGTCTAACAGAAGGCAGACAATGTTCTGAGCCTGCTGGATGTTGACATGGGAGATTTGGGGTCCAGGCTGGATGGATTTTTGCAAAGAACTGGAATATGGATTTTTCTGTAAGATGTTCTTCTTGTTGTTGCTTTTAAAATATTGACATCTAATTCAAAAGTTTTATATAACATTAAGTTAGCCAAATAAAACACAGGGGCAGCTTGAATTGGACTGGAGTATCACAGTTTGTTGTTGTTTTTTTCCCCAAATCTCTGGGGTAGGTGCTGGTATTACTAAGAAAGAAAGCAGGGACAAAAATAACTACATAGGTGTGTTTTTGTTTTCTCTCTGACTTACCCTATTTTCTGGGCCTGAAGGCTTTAGCATATACTTAATTTAGTATGCATCTGTGTCAGGCACTGTGATAATCACTTCAGTTGCATTAGCAAAGCATGAGCTTAAAAAACCTTCCAACAGAACATCCACTCAATTATTTATTGGTTCTGCCAGGAGTCTAGAGCCTAGATAAAAATTTTCCATTATTATCCTTCTATACAGTTTACATCTACATGATTCTCAGGAAAAAATGCATTATGTGGATATGTGTTTGAGTGTGCTGGAGAGTGGGAAGATCTTAAACAAGTCTTGAGTCTTTATTGAGCAGGAGCTAAATTTAGCAAGAATTTATACCTTCTCGAAGGTTTGGAGGATTACCAAGATGGTGGACAGGGAGCATTGGGGAATTTAGCGTCTGACTTATTCTGGTTCTTCATAAAAATATGTTTATTAACCGTTACTGGAAAAAACATAACTTTACGTTCATTTTCCTTAATGTCCTGTCTCATGTGTTGTAGCAAAAGAATTTAATAATCCAAATGGGAAACTTCCATTACGGCTTGTGGGAGAGTGTTGAGTATTATTTTGAGAGAAATAGGACTTTTGTTGCGATATAATTACAAAGCAGAAGTGTGACATCTGTATCCATATGACATGAGAATTCTCTTGATCAATGATTGAAACGTCTAAACCTGAAATAGTAAGGCAAGTTTTAATTATTTTAAAAGATGACAAGATGATCCTTCTTTGTATTGTATTATTTCCAAACAAACTTTTGACATGCCCGAAGGGATAAATACACAGATTTCAGTTTAGGCATTTCATTAGCCAAGCAGGTGATAAACTCACAGTATATATTACATTTTTTTTCACTGTTGGTAGGAAACATTAGTCTTCGGAATAGAAAGATGAAAGCGAAATAAAAATAATGGTAATCAAAAGCACAAGTTAGCAATATACCTTTTTCACTTTTCTCTGCTTGTTCAATTTTGGATAATTTATTGATCTGTGGCCACCAGGAACACATTGCCTGAGGGCCGCCAGAAGCAATATGGAGTGTGGAAAAGTATTAGGGTTAGGCTAACCTGGGTTTAGACCAGTGATCTGCCATTTTCCAACTGTTTGGTCTTGAGCAAGACATTCAGCAATAAATCATACCACCTCACAGGATTGTAGTGAGGGCTGGACATGATGAGTATTCAAGGCTTAAAATATCAGTTGGGATTAATTAATGATAGTCATTCCTATTATTGTTATGATTATGATTTAGGGAACGACCCTTCAACACCTTTTTGAAAACTGATGTATTGGATTTGACCAGTGCTCCTGTGAATGACCTCAAAAATTTAAAAATCTTTAAAAGTCATCTGAAAATCAGAGATATGACTTTTTATCTGTTTTTTATTTTTTTGTGGTTTAATTGTATTTTAATTTTATGCCTTTGGTTTTTATAATTTTGAAAACTTGAATAACTGTATAAACTATGAGATCAAAATAAGTAGTCTGTATTTAATGAGCATGTTAGTCTGGCTGTAAATAAGTTTAGGAGTGGACACTGAGATTAAAATCTCCATTTTACTATTACACAGGTGACTTACAAGAAGATTTCATTGTTGAGGAAACCAACTGGATAAAAAACTTACCTCCTGATGGTTTTGCAAAGTGAATAAAAATGTTGGTTCACCTCCTATTAGGAAACATTTAAATTGTGATCTCTCTAAATATTTTATCTTCTACATATTTATGGGTGTTTCAATAACTTTATATGTAACATGATTTCAATAGAATCATGTCAAATATATATGTTTATATTTAAGATTGTTCAAAGGAGGGAAATTTGTTTATGTAGTAAAGAGCTAACTGCTAGTTAAAGAAGACATATATCTTTGACATAAATGGTAAGCAGAGCAATAAAGTTCTTATGTACAAAATTGGAAAGTCAATTACAGTGTCAGAATAATCTGTTTTAAATAAACAGTAATTATGGAGATACTTCTCTATTTCTACAAATTGGCTTGCATGGATTTCATTTTTTTACCTAATTGTAATTTCTAGATGTATGTTACTGATGATATAATCCCATGCTTTACAATGTGTACTAGGTTACCTTTTTTTGCTATTATCATTTGTAAGCAGCATCAGGGTCAAAGTCTGACCCTCATTTTGCATAGGTGAATCCCCAAGAAATTTTACTATCCTGAGGGCATCATTTTGTCCTTGAAGCAACATCAAAGTAAATGCACTTTATTATAGCATGAAAGGTACGTCTTTACACTCCAAAAAAATATGTTCTAAGAATGTCAGTGGTAAAGATGAATTACCTATTCTGAATCTCTGTTCTCTGGAGCCTTTACAACATTTCAGAAGAACTGAAATGATTATAAATTTGAAATGAGTGATATCAAACTTCTTAATTTTGGCTATCATTACAATCTATTCAGTTGATTATGTGGCAGCCTTGGTTGATTTATCAGGCAGGAAACCTGAAGAAGAAAACTTTTCTTCTTATTTTAAATAAAATGCATGAATATAGTTTTGAGATACCCAATAGTTGTTTTATTTTTATTGCTATCCAAACGAGAAAAGTTAATGTGTATGGTCATATTATTATGAACTCACAGATATTAAGTAGATGGCTAGAATAACCATTTAATTTTACTGGTGAATGTTAAAATGTCTTTCCACCAGGAGTTTTCAGTAATACAAAGAAAGGAAGAAGGAAAGAAGGAAGACAAAAAGGATGAAAAGAAGAAAGGAAGGAATAAAGGAGGAAAGATTAGTTTTATTTTAATCATTCAGTCATGTATAATGGATAGAAGCATTTCATTATAAATAAAAACCTCAGTGGGATTAACTAGAAATGCATATGAAGGGCCTAAAGAAAGGAAAACGGGGCAACATGTGCAGGTTAAGCTGTTATTGCAAGTAACTTTTCAGCTTTTATAATTTTCAAATAATTTATTATTCTCAAATAAATAACTCAGGAAGGCATTTTCCCTGAAATGAACATTTATTCTAAAGCATTATAGTGTATCAAAGAGATCTCATATTTCATGTCAGAAAATGCTTTCATATAGCATAAATAAGTGTGTGTGTGTGTATCAGTGTCATTTATAGTTGAAAGGTATAGTTATTATAGTTATTATATTTTGGATATTTAATATAAAGATGTTTATGTGTGTGTGTGCACATGTGTGAAATGTTCGTTAGCTGTAGGTAGGTACAGCACTGCTTGTGTGAAAGTCGGGTGAGTAGAAGAGTCTAAGATACATTTGATTCAGCTTAAGAACTGGTTTAATCCAGCATGTGAAGAACTAACATATGAAAACAAAACAAAAAAATGCTGGGCTCAGTGGCTCACACCTGTAATCCTAGCACTTTAAAAGGCTGAGGTGGGAGGATAGCTTGAGGTCAGCCATTTCAGAGCAGCATGGGCAAGTGATACCTCTGTCTCTACAAAATAAAAAATAGTCAGGTGTGGTGGTGTGCACCTGTAGTCCCAGCTACTTGGGAGGTTGAGGCAGGGGGATCACTGGAGCCTAAGAGTTTGAGGCCGCAGTGAGCTATGATCACACCACTGCACTCCAACCTGGGTAACAGAGTGAGACTCTGCCTCTAAATAAAATAAAAAATAATAAAAAGGAAAAAAAAGCAGTATAGGTATTAAAAAAAGAATTAAGTAATGCCAGGAGCAGGGAGGGATAACTATTATAGTAACTGCTAGTTAATAGAAGAGTGAACACAGGGACATTTCCATGAACTGACAACCCAGAGAGCATCACTCTTTAGGTATCTGGAGTCTGCCAAGGGTGAGATCCAGATGCACTTAAGGCAAGTCCTACAAAACACAGGCAGAACGAGGTCTTCATTGTGCTGGAGAGCTGAGAGATGGGATGTCAGATAGGATTTGAAGGAAAGCAGGGGCCTCCCTTGGACGAGAATTGGTGACTTCGGAGAAGCCAGTCAGGCAGTGAGAGCACTAGGTTGGAAGAGATGAGCTTAGGGGAATAGAATAATGCCTGGCATCAAGTACTCATCTAGTTTTATTTCCTAAATTGCTGAGTTTTTTGTTTGTTTGTTTGTTTTTCTTTTTAGAGAGACAGTCTCACTCCGTCATCCAGGCTGGAGTGCAGTGGTGCAATCTCGGCTCACTGCAACCCCCGCCTCCCAGGTTCAAGCAATTCTCCTGCCTCAGCTTCCCAAGTAGCTGTGATTACAGACGCGCACCACCACGCTGGGTGCGTTGTTCATGCCTGTAATCCCAGTACTTTGGGAGGCAGATCACGAGGTCAGGAGTTTGAGACTAGCCTGGCCAACATGATGTGTTCCTATACTACCCTCTCATGTATCCCCCTAACCAGCCTGTCTGCAGCTCCAAGTTACTCCCATTGAAGTTGGTGTTCACAACACCATTTGTGATGCAGTTGACATCTCACTGCGGAGATGTGGTGCATGAGAATTGAGGGGCAAAAATGCATCTCAAAGCCCAAGTATTAAGAGAGTCTTCTGCCTTGCCACCTGGCACCAGCAGAAATGACAAGTGGTTAAAAAAAAAAAAAAAAAAAAAGCCTTTTTCCCAGGCACTGGTTTCTTTTTTTGCAGCAATAACTATTTGGCTAAGCTAAAACGTGTCTCTGGGTACATTAATGTTTCAGCTTACATTCTATGGCTACTGCTTTCCATGGCCCAATTGTGTGATGCTTAGTTTTCTTTTTTTTTTTTTTTTTTTTTTTTTTTTTTGAGACGGAGTCTCGCTCTGTCGCCCAGGCCGGACTGCGGACTGCAGTGGCGCAATCTCGGCTCACTGCAAGCTCCGCTTCCCGGGTTCACGCCATTCTCCTGCCTCAGCCTCCCGAGTAGCTGGGACTACAGGCGCCCGCCACCGCGCCCGGCTAATTTTTTGTATTTTTAGTAGAGACGGGGTTTCACCTTGTTAGCCAGGATGGTCTCGATCTCCTGACCTCATGATCCACCCGCCTCGGCCTCCCAAAGTGCTGGGATTACAGGCGTAAGCCACCGCGCCCGGCCGCTTAGTTTTCTTTATTAGGGTTTAGAAAACCAGTGGGAGAAATCTATGGCTTACAACACCAATTAATTTTGTTAAAATAATCTTTCAGATGTAAACTGGCTTTGCTAGTGAATAACCTTGGTATAATATCTCTGGGCTTTGGATTCTCGTCTGTAAACTGGAAATAATATTTACCTTACAGATATATTGTAAGGAATTAATGAGATAAGTAAAGCACCTATCTTAATTTCTGGCATATGGCAAATGGCAAACAGATAATAAATGGTAGCAATTGTTATTATTAAGATTGAGTATATGGTAAGTGGATTGATTTATTCCGTTAGTTAACTGTTTCCCGAAATAAAATTTTTAAATTGGGAATAATAGATAAAGTCTACCTGGAATAATAGATAAAGTTTATCCAGAACCTTCTCTATAACAGAACATCATTCTATTCTGGATTTCACAATTTTTTAAAAGATCAAAAAGGTTTAATTAGATCCCATTTGTCTATTTTGGCTTTTGTTGCCATTGCTTTTGGTGTTTTAGTCCTGAAGTCCTTGCCCATGCCTATGTCCTGAATGTTATTGCCTAGGTTTTCTCCTAGGGTTTTTATGGTTTTATGTCTAATATTTAAGTCTTTAATCCATCTTGAATTAATTTTTGAATAAGGTGTAAGGAAGGGATCCAGTTTCAGCTTTCTACATATGGCTAGCCAGTTTTCCCAGCACCATTTATTAAATAGGGAATCCTTTCCCCATTTCTTGCTTTTGTCAGGTTTGTCAAAGATTAGATGGTTGTAGATGTGTGGTATTATTTCTGAGGCCTCTGTTCTGTTCCACTGGTCTATATATCTGTTTTGGTACCAGTACCATATTGTTTTGGTTACTGTAGTCTTGTAGTATAGTTTGAAGTCAGGTAGCATCATGCCTCCAGCTCTGTTCTTTATGCTTAGGATTGTCTTGGAAATGTGGGCTCTTTTTTGGTTCCATACGTACTTTAAAGTAGTTTTTTCTAATTCTGTGAATAAAGTCATTGGTAGCTTGATGGGGATGGCATTGAATCTATGAATTACCTTGGGCAGTATGGCCATTTTCATGATATTGGTTTTTTCTATCCATGAGCATGGAATGTTCTTCCATTTGTTTGTGTCCTCTTTTATTTCACTGAGCAGTGGTGTGTAGTTTTCCTTGAAGAGGTCCTTCACATCTCTTGTAAGTTGGATTCCTAGGTGTTTTATTCTCTTTGTAGCAATTATGAACTAAAGAGCTTCTGCATGGCAAAAGAAACTACCATCAGAGTGAACAGGCAACCTACAGAATAAGAGAAAACTCCCAATCTACCCATCTGACAAGGAGCTAATAATATCCAGAATCTACAAAGAACTTAAACAAATTTACAAGAAAAAAACAACCCCAGCAAAAAGTGGGCAAAGGATATGAATAGACACTTCACAAAAGAAGACATTTATGCAGCCAACAGACACATGAAAAAATGCTCATCATCACTGGTCATCAGAGAAATGCAAATCAAAACCACAATGAGATACCGTCTCATGCCAGTTAGAATGGCGATCATTAAAAAGTCAGGAAACAACAGGTTCTGGATATGGAGGATGTGGAGAAATAGGAACACTTTTACACTGTTGGTGGGACTGTAAACTAGTTCAACCATTGTGGAAGTCAGTGTGGCAATTCCTCAAGGATCTAGAACTAGAAATACCATTTGACACAGCAATCCCATTACTGGGTATATACCCAAAGGACTATGAATCATGCTGCCATAAAGACACATGCACACGTATGTTTATTGCAGCACTATTCACAATAGCAAAGACTTGGAACCAACCCAAATGTCCATCAATGATTGCCTGGATTAAGAAAATGTGGCACATATATACAATGGAATACTACGCAGCCATAAGAAAGGATAAGTTCATGTCCTCTGTAGGAACATGGATGAAGCTGGAAACCATCATTCTCAGCAAACTATCACAAGGACAGAAAACCAAACACCGCATGTTCTTACTCATAGGTGGGAACTGAATAATGAGAATACTTGGACACAGGGCGGGGAACATCACACACTGGGGCCTGTCGGGGGCTGGGGGCCTGGGGGAGGGATAGCATTAGGAGAAATACCTAATGTAAATGACGAGTTGGTGAGTGCAGCAAACCAAAATAGCACATGTAGACCTATGTAACAAACCTGCACGTTGTACACATGTACCCTAAAGCTTAAAGTGTGTGTGTATATATATATATAAAAGATAAAAAAGGAATACTTTACAGAGCAGGAAATACATTGTACTGATGATGTTCATGGTTGTCTGTTTATTTATAAATTATGCATGATTACAGAAGGACAACATGAAAGTATATGAAGAACATGACAGATTTTAATAAATTAAAAATGAAATTTGGAAACTATTTTGTAAAAAGAGACAAAAAAAACTTTCCAGGAGCATAAAGTAGGATCCTTATTGCAATTGAAAATTAAATTCACTTCAAATGTTCTTAGTATCTAAAGGAAAAAAATATATACTGATGGAGCAACTCTTCTGAAAAATAACTCAACATTATGGTTATTTTGTGAAATGGCTTGAGAACTTCTCTTGGAAGTTTTTCACTATTACATTTAGATGTGGCTACAAACTTCATGCTGCTCTTCCTTCTGTGATGTCAAAGAGCATGCAGCTGAGAAGTGCATGGCTTATATGCAAGTGAAGTCTAAAAAATAGTGTTGGTTCACATAACTTTCCACTGTTACTCAGATAACTGAGGCTAACCAACAATGAGGAGAGCACTTTTGTTTTCCTTTTTTTTTTTTTTTCTGAGACAAGGTCTCACTCTGTCTCTCAGGCTGAAGTGCAGTGGCGTGATCATGGTTCACTGCAGTCTTGACCTCCCTGGCTCAAGCGGTCCTCCCACCTCAGCCTCCTGAGTAGCTGGAACCACAGTGCACACCACCACACTTGGCTAATTTTTGTATTTTTAGTAGAGATGGGGTTTCCCTATGTTACCCAGGCTGATCTCAAACTCCTGGGTTCAATTGATCTGCCCACCTCAGTCTCCCAAGTGCTGGGATTACAGAGTGAGCTACTGCACCCAGCCAGCACTTTCTGTTAATACTTTAGCCTCTAGTCATGAGCTAGAAAGGGACTTGAATACAGCCACCCAGTTTCACTTCTCTGGGGGTCTCTGACTCACGTTCATTTGGTACAGAACCTAATAGACAGCATATGGGGAAAATTTTTTTGAACTGAATTGAAAATGTAACAAAATGCTTGGGGAAGTAATTCAGTGCTATTTAAAAATATATATGTTGACATAGCCTCAGGAATTGCAGTTTCTCATAGTCATGATAAAGTTCTCCCTTTGATAGCTCAGACATGAAGTAATTGAAGTAAGTTCAGGTTTTGCTTCTGCTAATTACTAGCCATGTGACCTTGGGCAAGTTTCTTAAGTTTGCAAAAAAATCCAGTTTCCTCATCCATAAAACCTGAAAAATAATACTACCTGCCTCATCGAGTTATTGTTTATATTAAATGTGATCATTTATGTAAAATGTTTCATATAGCACCTAGCACCTAGTAAACAGTCAAAAATCTAATTTCTACTATGGCTAATTGGATGTTTAATACAGTCCGTTACTGAGGTCATCTTTACTGGATTTGAGTGACAATTTAAAATTTTAGATCAAATAAATATTACAAATATGCAAAATGTAAAATGGTATGATCAAATAAATATTTATATGGAAGACTTTATTAAGATTTTAGCTTGCAATACATGATTGAGAATTTCATTTGGGCAGTATCCTCAATTGTGAAAAGAGGGGTTCAGATTCAATAATCCCCAAGGTGCTAATATTTAAATTCTACATAGTACTAATTTTTAATTGAGAAATTTAGTAAGAAATTTATATTTATAATGATATTCAAATTAGATGTCTGATTCATTACTTATATTTATTATTTAGATTCATCCAAATATTCTAGGCATAAGTATCTTAACCTAATACAAAACCAACTTGTTGAGATAGAACTTAGAATATGTATTGGGAAAATTTTGAAATAAACTCTAATTAGCATTGCAAAAACTTTTTTTTCCTCTTTAATTTTTGTGGGTAGATAGTGCATGTATGTATTTATGGGGCACATGAGATAGTTTGGTACAAGTATGCAATGCATGATAACCACATCATGGAAAATTCAGTATCCATCCCCTCAAGCATTTATCCTTTGAGAAAACTTTTTTGAGTTTGTTTCCAATGGGTATGTCCTTTAAGTGTACCATTGTGCTTCCTTTATTTTAGAGGGAAAAAAAGGGAGCAAAGGAAGTAAGACATAGTGAGAGAGACCAAAATAGGAAGACTCTGGAACTCTTGCCAAAGAAATCACTGTGGTAGATTTGCAACCTGATTTCTAGACTGGAATTGTTCAGATGAAGTCAGATAAACTTCACAGAAACATCTGTACTTTATAGCGGTGATCTGAAACACCAAAAACTCTGGCAGTTCTCCCATTCCTCTCTCTAGTTTTCTCCAAAGTGAGTGTATGAAAACTCTGTCCTCCACCACTGCTGCAAACCTCTAATTCCCAATTATGTAATGGTTCCAAAAAGCATACACCATGTGACTCTGTGCAAGTTAGACTGAAAGACAAAAGTTTGACTCTTGAAATTTATGTTTAGTTATTTATTGTCCGACATCTATTTTAGAGCATAGTCCTTCTTCCTTAGGCCCTCCCTCAAATCACTCAACTGATACCAAGTCATATATTGAATGATTTTTCAAAAAAAAAGTAGCATTTACTTATTGAAGAAATAATAATTGCCTGTAATTATACACAGTGATGTTATGATAAATGCATTCAGTGTGGAATGATTGAATCAATATAACATATCCATGAACTTAAATAATGATCATTTATCCCTCCTGTCTAACTGCAACTTCGTGCCATTGGGCCAACATCTCCCCATTCTCTCCACCCCCAGCCTCTGGTAACTAATATTCTACATTCTGTTTCTATGAGTTCAATTGTTTTAGCATCCAGGAATAAGTGAGAACATGTGGTATTTGTATTTTTGCACCTGCATTATTTCACTTAGCATAGTGTCCTCCAGGTTCATCCATGTTGTCACAAATGACAGGCTTTCCTTCTCTTTTTTGGCAAAATTGTATTCCATTGTGTGTGTCTATACACACACACAAACACACACACACACACACATATCCTAAGGACCTGAAGTCAATATTCAAAGAGATATATGCACTTCTATATATATATAAAATAAAATTTGATTGTTATATATCAATGATTGATTCAGTCATTCTACACTGATTCCAAATGTGTGTGTGTATATATATATATACACATATATATACATATATATGTGTACATACGTATACATGTATATATGTGTATATATGTATATATATGTGTATATATGTATATATGTGTGTATATATGTATATATGTGTGTATATATGTGTATATATATGTATATATGTATATGTGTGTGTGTGTATATATATATATATATATATATACACACACACACAGACATTTTCTTTATCATTCATCCATTGATGGATACTTGGGCTGATTCCATAACTTGGCTATTTTAAATAATGAGGCAATGAACACAGGAGTGCATATATCTCTTTGAATATTGATTTCAGGTCCTTAGGATATGTACCTAGAGGTGAGATTGCTGAATGTACATTCTTTTTAACATCTTTTTATTCAAACACTCATAGTCTGTGTTGTTCCTCACTGCAATGAATAATAAACCCAGATTTTTAGATTGAAAATTGTTCCCAGTATTTAACATACTATTTTTGTTTTTTAAGATCTGGGATTTTCCTTTCATGATACAGTTAGTGGGTTCCAACCCTGCCTGGGTTCGTAGTCTCTGCCCTAAAACACACAGAGTAGTTGGTGCAATGGGAAACATTGACATCACCCGGGAATGAGATGCACATTATCATGAGATTAGGCTTAGAATAAAATCCAATGTAATATACAAATATAAGGGGAGCTTAGTGGAAGATAAGCTGACAGAAGAACCTGAGAACAAAGAATAGAAGATGTAAGATAAGGTAAGGGAGAGGTGGTGTCAGGAAATTTGAAAAGTGTCACAGGTTGCAGAGAGGTGCAATGAAATAACGAATGAGAAAAGAAATATCTACTGGATTTCACAATTGGATGTGTTGGGGAATTCCTGGATGGACTTACAGGAGAAAGCCAGCATTTGTAGAAGTGGAGGAGACGTGGAGGGTGAGAGGGTAGGGTAAACGACTCTCCACTGGAGGCAATGAGAGATGGGCTGGAAACCACAGGGAGGCAGAAGTCAAAATTTCTATTTCTATGTTTCTAACAGAGGAGAAACTTCAGCATTCATATAAATCATGGGGAAAGAGAAGACAGAGAGGGAGGCTGGAGCTAAAGGCAGAGATAGCAACAGAGAAA
Source organism: Homo sapiens (assembly GCF_000001405.40). NCBI lineage: Eukaryota > Metazoa > Chordata > Mammalia > Primates > Hominidae > Homo > Homo sapiens. The sequence goes on from NC_000010.11 coordinate 8,746,800, forward strand.
GAGTAGAGATCTCAAGAGAGACGAGGAAAGTCCGTCTGGGACATGCATGGAAGGAGAAGACTTCTACTAAGGAGAACCAGCCCTTCTATGGTCTGAAGATGCCATGATTCTGGACACAGGTTATTTTGTCACAGCTCTAGAGGGAACAGGCAGGAAGGTAAGCAAATTCCCGCCTAACGGCCTCATTCTTCTCCATGACACCGAAAGGGAAGCTGTTTACTGAGACTATTGGGAGAATATGGGAATTAGTAGCTGCAGGAGAGTGATGGAGACTTTTTAGTAAAGATTTATGCTTTTATTTTCTAGCTGAGTATTTTATTTCCTTATTCATAGATTTTGCTTAGGAGATAGGAGATGAAAGCTGCTGGAATGAAGTTGGATGAGCTCATTTCTTCTATTAAAAGGCTTTACTGGCTGTGCAGTCTCTGAGATTGAAGTTGCTCATGTGGGTCATGAGCAAGCAGCTGCTTTAAGGATTTGATCTTGGGTTCTCAGGACCTCTCTGGTGCCTCTCTGGAGCAAGTCCCTGCACTGACAGATGCAACCTGTAGCACAGAGCAAGTCAGGCAGGGAGAACAATGCCTACTGTCTCCTCAAGATGCTCAGAAGTGAAAAATACAGAGACGTAAAAATGTACAATTACACTCAGATAGTGATTAACAAAGCATCAGTAAATCATTTAATGTAACTCATTGGAACGTGAATTTAAACCCAATATTATGGGGATTGCACAACTTTTCTATACTTCACAAACCATTCCCTTGGAAATAATTATTTGGAAATAATTATTTAACATGATAAAATTAGGTCATAGGTCACACTCATACATGATCACATGTACTCATTACTTCAATTGCAAACCTATGGTAATCTGTTGGTGAAATAAGAAGATGTGAAAAGGTGCCGTAGGGACAAATTTTCCTTCCATATTTCAATTCAAGACATCATTGTGAGTAGACTAAAATAATTCATATTTCTGCTGAAAACTACCTAGGGTTATCACATAAAATTCACGACATTCAAATTAATTTGAATTTCAGATAAACAAAGAATAGATTTTTAGTGTTAAGTGTGCCCCAAATATTGCATGGGACATAGTTATAATAAAAATATATTGTTCTTTATTTTAAATTCAAATTTAATTGAGTATCCCATGTTGTTATTTGCTAAATATGATTACCCTAAAATCTCATTGTTCATAACTCGGTTTTGTGGATATAGAACCATTGCGGGAAAGTGGATGGCTAAAGCAGCCTTACTAAGACCTCTCCTCATGTGCTCCTGAAAGAGAAGTGCACATTTTAACCAGCTTCCTAAAATATGGACCCATCACTGTCATTTTCCTTTTCGAAAGATTCCAATGTGAGTAAAACATTGAATTGGAATATTTCGGATTCCCATTTTGCTTCTGAGCTTATTAGCAGGATTCATCTGGATCATCTCCAGCCTGAGATACCTGAGGAAATAGATTATATCAAAGGGAGAATTCACAGCATCAACAACAGCAAGCATGATGATTTGTTCAGATATGCTGTAGTACAACTGAAGACACAGGAATTGAGGAAGAAGAAGATCCAGTCTCTCTATTGTCTTGCCTTTGCACCTGGAAACATGCTTGTTTTAAGGTGAAATTGTTCTAGGAGTTTGTGTTCTGCTTTTCCCGCCTTCCCTTGCCCCACCAGCATACATACATACATGCACGCACTCGTGCACACACACACACACACACACACACACACACAGTCATAGAGCTGGGAATTTTGATTTAGAATACCTTTTTTAAATTTTTATTTACTTATTTGGGCACATGGTCTAAGCCTTAGAGGAATACGCCCCAAGATGTCACCAGTGCCAGTGATTCTATTTGCAGCCATAGGCCCTTGTGGTCTGGGCATTGCTACTCTTTGCTAGTATTACGTTGGTAGGCAGGGTTTCCTCTTTCCAAAATGATGACATAAATGAAGTTTATTTTTCTATTTATTATTCTTTATATGCTCTTCATGACTTCTTGTTCTTTCTTTCAGTTTGATGGAAATCATGTCTCTTTTCTTAAAACCCACCCTCCCCAACACCAAAGCTGTTACCTTCCTTCCCCTATCAACACATGCTCTCAGAAAAGGGTCCTGCGTCCCCTTCACTCAGAGGTGTGAGTCTTGAACAAGCTAAAAATGGCAACTTACTCGGCTGGGCGCAGTGGCTCATGACTGTAATCCCAGCACTTTTGGAGACCGAGGCAGGCGGATCACCTGAGGTCAGGAGTTTGAAACCTGCCTGGCCAATATGGCGAAACCCCGTCTCTACTAAAAATGCAAAAATTAGCCGGGTATGGTGGTGGGTGCCTGTCAATTCCAGCTACTTGGGAGGCTGAAGCAGGAGAATGGCTTGAACTCAGGAGGCGAAGTTTGCAGTGAGCTGATATTGAGCCATTGCACTCCAGCCTGGGAAACGGAACAAGGCTCCGTCTCCAAAAAAAAAAGCAACTTATTTTTATACTTCTTCCCTTACAGACCTCACAAAAGAAGCAACTCCAATTCTAAAGAAGGTGTTCCTTAGCAGCTGTTGGGAGGGGACAATTTACAAAGAGGAAAAGTCTTCTGAGGACATGAGAGACAGTATTTGGATGGCTCTATATTCTCTCTCCATACCTTACTGCTTGAAACCCAAGAGTCTGCAGGAAAAACACAGTGTATACACACATGGGCTCAGCTGCTTATATTTTTGACCTGTTCTATTGCTGTTTAATTGGCTATATCATGGCTGAAGACTGAAATGCTTGATGACTAGATACAGTGAGTTCTCACTTCACGTCATCCATAGGTTCTTGGAAACTGTGACTTTGAGTGAAACCACATATAATAAAACCATTTTTTAAAAAAATCATCCACACTATAACTAAACATTAAATCAAAGGGTGTTATTTGAGGACCTACTGTACATTTCGCTTATGGTCATGGTTTCCAAGAACTTACAGATGATATTAAATGAGGACTTACTGAGGTTACTTCTTTTTAAAAAAATAAATTGATTTTCATAGGTTTTAGGGGAACGGGTAGTATTTGGTTACATGCCCAAGTTCTTTAGGGGTGATTTGTGAGATTTTTGGTGCACCCATCACCCAAGCAATATCCACTGTAACCCAGTTTGTAGTCTTGTATCCCTTACCCCGCTCCCACCCTTTCCCTCTGAGTCCCCAAAGTCCATTGTATCATTCTTACGCTTTTGTATCCTCATAGCTTAGTTGCCACTTATGAGTGAGAATATACGATGTTTGGTTTTCCATTCCTGAGTTACTTCACTTAGAATAATAGTCTCCAGTTCCATCTAGGTTGTTGCAGATACTCAAACCCTGCCTACACCTGACGGTGAGAGAAGAAGTAACTTAGGGGACTTCAGACAGTCAGAGTCCCAGCATGAATGGTGAAAGGTGAACAATAATTCAGGCTCCTAGAGCTGAAAGAAACATCTGACTTACAAAAGAGAAAACCAAGATCTAGAAACAATAAGCAACTTATCCAAAGTCAGAAGTATTTAGTAACAGAAATAAAGATAAAATATAGGCTTCCAAATAGTCTTCTTTAGTTCTAATTTAAAGACCAACCTATTTTATCGTATGTGTACCTAAAAGTTTATTAAAAAGCACAGCAAGCTAAAAAGTAATTTTACAAACAGTAGGGACATGTAAAACAAAAATATTTTTCAAGGAAACAAAACAAAACCCTTTAGAATAATATTTTAGGTTGGTCAGAAATGCAACTATTTCAACCCAGTGCATTTAATTACAGATAATTTTATAATTAAAACTTATCTTTACTCTGAATAAATAATGGCCAAATTTTGCTAATATGGATTAAGGCCCAGGCAATTGGACTTGTATTTAAAGAAATGTCCAGATTTGTCATTAATTAAGTTGAAATTATTACAGCCACTTTTTTCCTTTAATTTAGTAATGATTAAGAATGGCATGTTGCTCAGAGCTAAGCAACAAAGAACAGGTATGCTGTCTTATGATTAGAGAGCAAGACTAGGAGCCAGAACTTGTGAGCCTTATTAGAGAATTTTGTAAAGCACTTTGAAGATGAAAAGAACTATAAAATCCCAAAGAATATTGATATTGCCAGTCTCACTCTTAGTTCTGGCACTAACTTGCTGTGTGGTCTTGAGAAAGAAGAGAGAGAAAGCAATTGTTAACTTTGAACACAAGGATGCAATGATATATTTTGCTTCAATTTTACTGTTTTGTTTTTTATTTTAAATCTCAATCTAATGAGCAAGAAAAAAAATAGAGACAAAACAATTTTTTCACCTTAAATAATATAGTAGGTTTTTAGCCATAACCACTTGTCTGGAAAATTCCAACTGCATTTCACTTAATTTTTTTTTCTCTTAATATAGGCAGGCCTTACTTTTTGTCAAAACATACTCCTTGAAGCTGACACTTAACATCTCATGTTTCATGAGAATTACCTACTACTTATACAAAAAATACAGATTTCAGAGCTATTATTCCAACATAGGTATTCCAAATACCCTAGTTTAAGGAATAATGTATAAGAAACATTATCTTATACATTAAATCTTAATAAAAAAATCTTAAAGTCAATGGTCAAAAGTAGCCAAGTGGTCAATAAGTTTGCACAACTGCAATCCAGGCATGCAAACTTATTGTCTTCATTTGCTTGAAGGGTATTTGAGGTTTTAATGTTTGCACAGTGGCATTGTGCTGACTAGCTACTAATTTCTAGTCAAATGATTTCAAAAATAGGTTTAAAACATGATTATTATAGAAAAAGGCATTTTTATCCCTTAAAATTTCCTAACAACTAAAAGAAATTAAATTCCTTTAAACTGTGTAAGACATCTTTAACACGCGAATGCATTTTGATATTCTCTTCTATTTCTCTCTTACTCTTGATGGTTTTCTAATGACCCTGAGTTAGGAGATCTGATGTCCACATGTGACAGGGAAAACACCTCCTCGCACTCTGCCTAACACTTGGGGATGACTTTTAGTTTTTCAGAAGCAACCCAGAAAGCAATGTGGAGGAAATAATTTAAGTCGATGCTTTCCTTCAGAAATAAATGTTTCAAAGATCATATCCAACTGGCCATGGGACAGTAGCATCAAAATATTAAGATCAAAACTCCCCAGCAAATTGCAACAGATGTGCAAGACATTTATCCTCAGGGACTGAAAACTCACTTTGAAACGACACATAAAGCTCCAAATTTCAGAGACCACAAGCTCCTTGGCTTACAGTGCACCTAACGTGTCAATTGAAAGGCGTGGAGTTCGCAAGCTGCGCAGAAAGCAATTTTGCTTTCATACCTGGTGTTCTTGTGCACCCTGGCTAGAGGATTCCAAGTGCATAAGTTGTAATCTTTCCAAGAGCAGTAGGTTGATATCAAAGACTCTTCAGTGAAGCAGGGAATTGTGGCAGTACTTCAAGGAGCGGGATTGCAATTAACTCTTAAGTACAGATTGAAGGAATGCCCTGCTTGGTTGCTACAGGCTTTGCTTGTGCTTCAGAGATGAATGAATGGGAAGCACAGAGCATGCAGAGATGATAACCTGCCAGCCTGCAGAGAGTGTGGGCAGAGAGAAAAGTCACAGAGTTGGTGGGAACATGTACTCGTTGAAATGGGTTTTGAAATCGGTCATACAAAATATTTTATACAATGTGATAAACCAAGGTTCTGTTTTCCAATTTTAATGACCAGAAAAAAAAATTCAAAATCCTTTTCATATTATTTTTCCTGCGTGAATGTGTGTGTGGAGTAAGAGGAGTGTATGTGTGTGGAATGTGTGTGTGTTGGCGGGGAGGGGAGAGGAATGTGGTTCTGCTAACAAGGTGACTCTGACCCGGTTACGTGTGGGTAGCAAGATGTGAATAAATGTCACCTAGTAGGGAACTGTTAGTGACTTCCCTTAGCACAAAGTGGGTGTAGTGGCACTATTTGGGGGACTGTAGACTTGTAGGATAGAGAGAAATTAAGCTAAGGAATATATTGTCTAGTAGGAAATGCATTCCAGCTTTTTGGGAACAGGTGATAACAATAATAACAACACCACACAGCATTATTCTTCCATAAAGAGTCCAATTGGCTAAAGAGAGCTTTCCTAAACTCACAACAGGAACTGAACCTTTTCAGAAAGCAAACTTGATTGCATATAATCAACTCAAATTACTTTCTTAATTAATAACCACTTAGAAAAGCAACTCAGTAGACATAAACCACTGTAGGTCACTTTCTCTCTGTCTCAGGCTTTGCAGTTTTCAACCATGACAACATCATCCAGTTCACTGCAGTTGTCTTATGTTGCCCTGTCTTCTTGTGTCTGGCCAGAAGTGGTACTTAATTAAGGGGGAATAGCTTCTTTTGGGGGCCATTCTATCCTTGTGCCAGGGATATAGCACGAGCCAAGAGCTGTTTTTTTTTTTTTATATCATTTTCTGGGTCCAGGCACCTGTTTCTGCCTTAGCCGTAAATCCCAGGTAAGAACATTCTGTGTGTGGGCACATATGTATGTGTCTGCATACGGGGTTAAGAGCAAAGCACTCCGTGTAGCCATTCCACTAACACGTCCAGGCAAGTGATAACAAAAATACACCCAATATAGAAGAAAAAGAAATAGGAAATACAATTTAAAAGTCATCTTGCATTCTGAATGGTGTGTAGAGATAGCGAGCATGTCTTTCTAACCCACAATTGGGTGTTACGGACAGCCAGAATGTATCATATGATTTTGGAACAGTGTATTTTATGTTTTGAAAGTATTCTAAATTTGTAATTCATGACCATTGAATATATAAAAATGGGGTGTGTGTCCTAGTGCCCCATTTAGTTTTTCTCTATCAAGCTAATATGATAATTGTATGAGAATTTTTATTGCCAAAGCTGGGAAAACTGCCTTTTTTTCTCCGCTGGCTGCTTTTTGCAGTTCCAGTGATGGGTGTTGGAAGCACCGGTTTTCTCACAGAACTCACTGTGCCTTCTATCTCAAGTTCATCATGAGGATGATGTTCCATTCCTAGGAAAGGTATTCCGACTCTAGTGGTGTCAGGACTAGGCTTGGTTCTGTAGTAACAGAGACTCAGGTATAGTGACTTAAATAACATCAAAGTTTGCTTAGTTCTCATACAAAAGAAGTCCAGTAGAGATAATAATGTAAATTTCAAGGCAGTAACCATCTTACAGATAGCAATTTTAAATGACTAAAAAAATTGAAAAGAATAAAGCAATTATTTTGAGGTGTTGGAAAGAGACCAAATGCATGCAGAAATTGGAGGGGATTCAATAATTGAGATAAGGAAGCTACATTGGGATATAACCACGTTGATACAGCTTTTCCTCTGAGGGGACCTCCAGTTCTCAAGCAGCAACATCTAGAACTCAACCAGAAACTTCAGCTTTTTGGGTTTGAGATGTTAAGAAAACAGAATTCAGGACAGCCATACTGTTTGTGTGTTTGTTTATACTATTTTTCTTTTTTTCCTAACTATTTAATTGTTTATTTATTTTATTTTAGTCTTGCTATGTTGCTCAGGCTGGTCTTGAAATCCTGGGCTCAAGCAATCCCCCTATCTCAGCCCCTTGAGTAGCTGGGATTACAGACATGTGCCACTGCACCCACCTAGGGCATTGGCAATATTTAGAAATGAAGAGGGAAATCTTAAGTAGAAGGGTAAAACAGAGGAGAGGAGCTTCAAAAATATGCATTCGAGTGCTGAGAAAATCCTTGGTTGGCACTGTGCATTCATGAGGGAATATAAGGAAACCAGTGGAAACCCACAACTGGAACCCCATTAAGGAATAAAGTTTTGGTCTCAGGATCAAAGGACTCATTTCAGAACAAGGGCAAAACCAACACAGAATCACACAAGTGAATCTGTGTGACCATCTTTCCACAAGTACATAGTAATCAACCAGAAATTTAATTGCCTACAAGATCAAAATTCACCACTTTTCTGAGGAATCTATAGAATCTCCAAACTTCAATTTTAAAGAGTGTCATTCAAAATTTCAAGTATAAATGAAGATTATTTGACATATGAAGAAACAGGAAAATGTGATTCATATTCAAGAGCAAAATAAGTCAATAGAAGTAGACTTTAAGAAGAACAAGATGCTGAGATTAACAGATAGGACTTTCAAGGAATTGAAGGAAAAGAACAGTTGTAATGAATGAAGAGATGGGAACTGTCAATAGAGATATAAAAACTATAAGCAAGAATGCAAGGAAGATCTTAAAAGTGAAAAGCGAAAAACTTGTTGCATGAAAATAACTTAATAAGATGAAAATTTATTTCAATTAAAAATGTATTTAACAGTTCTAGGAAACTAATACAATCTCCATCCCACCCCCATCTGCACAATTGCTTCTGGAGTCAAGACCCTAGGAGCAAGTAAAGGTCCTTGGCTTAGGACCCCATGGTGTTTCTATCATTGAAATCTTTAGTTGTTTTTAATACTATCCAACCTGACTTTTCATTCATTGGCTCTAAATGGTTTAATGCAACTTTCCTCACTAGACATGTTTCTAAAAATATTTCATGCAATGTAAAATTGTATATTAAATAAAATTTTTAGAGAACTTCTTGACTTTTTATAATACTTAATAAAAGTAGTTGGATAGAAGAAGAAATTAAGATGATGACTATTATATATGATCATATTGAATATGACCACTGCATTTGTCAATGCACATTTAAATTTTGCTAATTTTTAAAATCATCATTCACAACTAAATTTAAGGATCTCTTCATATGTAGCAGTTCAATGTATTCAAAAGTAGTATAAAATCAACCAATATGCTGGTACTATGTTTTGATGAGTCAATTAAAACTTCAGTATTAGCCAAATCTAACGATACGAGAGTTTGCTCATTTCTGTCAAATATTTTAAATCAAACAAAATAGATATGGTGGGAATGGAAAAGCATTTTACAAGCATTTGTATGGTATAAAACAAAGGAAATTTCTGGTTGTGAGTGTTTTTCTTTTCTGTTATTAAAAAGTAGTCATGCCTATTTTTTTCAGGGCTGAACAAACTGAAGTGATTTTTAAGAAGCAGAATACTCTTCAGTTTCAAAAACGTTATGCAACTCTTCACTTGTGGTATTGGTAAGAGAGCAAGATTTTAAAAATGAAAGAGAACAATTTGATGCCTTAATCATAAGACTGACGTAATCTGGGTATTGGAATTAGAAACCATGATGATCAACTCGTGATTTGAACTAAAAATAAAACACAGTATTCCAAAGAATGATTGGAGAGGATGTAAAACTAATATGACTTAATGTCTTCATTGTCCCTGAAAACAGGAGAATTCATAACAATTGGCTAGGCAGTCAGACAACTTGAATTCTAATTCTAATTCTAGTTCTGTTAACTTCAGTTCCGTCCCCGCCCCTTCAAACAAAAACAAAAACAAAAACAAAAACAAAATCTTAAGCCAATTGTGGTTTAGTCTTCTCCTTTACAGAAGAAGCAGGTAGATTCACCAGATCATCTCAAGGCTCTTTTAATGTTCTGTGATTCTATGAATTTGCATAAAATAGGAATTTTTCAAGGATGGTTTCAGGATAAGAGTTAATATATTCAAATTTTGATTTATGTAAAATGTAGTCAAGGAGTTTTCTAGTTACCATTTAAAGCAATGAGAGTAGATAGGGTTCATTTCCCTCTCATGTCATTTGCTAACTCTAAGTTCATAAAGCCTGTAGTGATTTGTTTCAGCATAAATATAGGGTGCGTATCTGAGTTGAATACTAAAAGTCCTCTGGTTGTATAGAACTCACGTTAAGCTCAATGCAGAGAGATCTGATGTTCATATCTCACCTTTAGGCTTTTGTTCTTTGTGTCTCTGTGGAAAAATCTTAAATCATAAGCAGGTGTGAGACTGACCCTTATTCTTAGTAGGTTTAAATGATGTAATTTTGAATAGGGGAGATAATATGGAATTGTTTGTGAAGGGAATGAACACTGCATAACAAAATCCCAGGTTGCAATTTCAGCCATTATTAACTTTGCAACTTAGGGTTTTATTTGCTTACCTGTACAAGGAGACTCCCAAATCTCTTTGGTTCTTTAAATCCCTTTGGTTCTAACACCATAGGGTTGTGTTCCATTTTGATTTAACCTGTCACTTTGGCAATATTCTTCGTATTGCAATTTGAAATTAAAAACCTGATTTAAATATCAAGCATTTCATGAGCACCAAATAAAAGTAGTCATAGCAGTTCGAGACCAGCCTGGCCAGCATGGTGAAACCCCGTCTCTACTAAAAATGCAAAAATTAGCTGAGCGTGCTAGTGGCCACCTGTAATCCCAGCTACTTGGGAGGCTGAGGCAGGAGAATCACTTGAACCCAGGAGGCGGAGGTTGCAGTGAGCCGACATCGTGCCATTGCACTCCAGTTGGGTGACAACAGTGAAACTCCGTCTCAAAAAAAAAAAAAAAAAAAAGTAGTCATAAAGATGGCAAGAATGGGACCACATTCTGAAGGGCTTGGCATAGTTTACCTTAGATGGAAATTTAACAAGCAAAGCTGAGCTCAATGTAGATTTTACACACTAATCAATATCATATAAGATATTAGCATTACTGTTTCATGGCGAATGCTTAATTCTTACTTTTGGGAGGTCATTTTTTTTTTTATTTTTTGGGACGGAGTCTCGCTCTGTCACCCAGGCGGGAGTGCAGTGGCACAATCTCGGCTCACTGCAAGCTCCGCCTCCTGGGTTCACGCCATTGTCCTCCCTCAGCCTCCCGAGTAGCTGGGACTACAGGTGCCTGCCACCTCGCCCGGCTAATTTTTTTGTATTTTTAGTAGAGACGGGGTTTCACCATGTTAGCCAGGATGGTCTCGATCTCCTGACCTCGTGATCCACCCGCCTCGGCCTCTCAAAGTGCTGGGATTACAGGCGTGAGCCACCGCGCCCGGCCGGGAGGTTATTTTTAAGATGTCCCTGAAATTTATTTTCCAGGTATGTACATTATAACGAAATAACCTGATTGATCTGGGAAACTAGGACACTCACAGAGATATGGTATAGTTTATGCTTAAGTTACATTAGTAACAACATTAGAACTATTGAAATGACATTGTACCTATTATTATATTTTGGGGAACTCATATTTACATACAGTTTTATACAAAGAGAGCTTATTCAAAGTTAATAGTTCATATTATTTGCAATATCTTTTTTTTTAAGAGTTGGTTATAAAATGCCACCACAAATAAGCTGTTTAGCTTTCCTAGCTATAGATACGGAGATAGAAACGAAACTTTATTTGCCTTAAAGACATTGAGGCAGGATCTCTAGGGTGAATAATTAGATTCTTGTAATTAAATCCGTTTGGAGCTGTTGTTGGTCATGGCATTTTAACCTCAAACCTTTTGCCTACCTAATGCAGGAATGACTCACTTGGATGCAATGGAGGAATGAATTGTGCAATTGCAAAATTAGGTTGTGATTGTTCGTTCATGGGAAATCATTATGCAAGTCAAGAAAATGTAATTTGCTGGTGAACAATTGTTTCTCATTGGGTGAATATGAGTGTGTCTGAGGAGGTTACACTGGGATTTTCCATTTATTAATTTGGCTTTTTCCAGTATGTTCATTTTATTCACCGTTCAAAAAAAGCTTGCCTTTTTCAAATGCCATCATTCTATCTTGAGTTATGGGAAAACATTATTTTTGCAAATATCAGGATGATATAAGTAGTAGACACATTAGGCTAAAAATTCCTTTTGCAGAATTTTACAGATATCCTTACTCTAATATTTGAAATGGTATAACCTCACTGATATATAAACAGTAGGCACAGTATTTATTAATTAGTTTATTGCCTTCATGACAACAAATATGCTGTATAAAAGTGAGGTTGATTTTAATTCCTCGGATGAAAGTACTCTAGGAGCCCAAGCTTGCTTGCTGTTTTGCTAAAAAAGCTAAACATGCTGAAAATATATGGAACCATGTTCTTAAATGCCTCAATAATTTGGCAAAAAAGTGTAGAAAGCACTCCATTAAAAGGTGAACACTGAAGATGACTTATAACTTGAGGGCAATGGTAAACTTAAATTTTAGTTTTTATGGTTGTTTGGGGGCCTGAAGGACATCAGATAAATCAGGGCCCTCTCAATGGGGAAAAGTTAAAAAGAGACCTCCTAGAAATAGGAATGCTTTTACACTGTTGATGGGAACACAAATTAGTTCAACCATTGTGGAAGACGGTGTGGAGATTCCTCAAAGATCTAGAACCAGAAATACCATCTGACTGACCCAGCAACCCTATCACTTGGTATATACACCCAAAAGAATATAAATCATTGCATTACAAAGATACATGCACAAGTATGTTCATTGCAGCACTATTCCCAATAGCAAAGACATGGAATCAACCCAAATGCCCATCAATGACAGACTGGATAAAGAAAATGTGGTACATATACACTACGAAAATACTATGCAGCTATAAAAATGAGTGAGATTATGTCCTTTGCAGGGACATGGATGAAACCAGAAGCCATTATCCTCAGCACAGTAACACAGGAACAGAAAACCAAATACCACATGTTTTCACTTATAAATGAGAGCTAAACAATGAGAACACATAAACACAGGGAGGGGAACAACACATACTGGGGCCTGTCTAGGGGTGGGTTGCGGGGAGGGAGAGCTTTAGGACAAATAGCTAATGCATGCTGTGCATAATACCTAGGTGATGGGTTGATAGGTGCAGCAAACCACCTTGGCACACGTTTACCAATGTAACAAACCTGCACATCCTGCCCGTGTACTCCAGAACTAAAAAAAAAAAAAATTAAAAAAAGAGCCTTCCTAAAGTTGGCACTCAAAGTATATACTCTCAGTTTAATGGACTAGAAATAAACTTATCAATCCTCCCACCAATGGTCTGAAACAAAGGGTGATTGTATTACAAATAGGAAAAAAAAATCTTCCTTAATAATTCATTGCTATAAGGTATCCCTCACACGGGTTTGCAACACAAATCCATACTAGTTAATCTGTCAAAGTAATACCACTCTAAATGATCCTGGGCTTATTCTCTCTCCGGTTTTTTGAAGGAGTAAGTCAAATCTTCTTTGCAAAAACACACAACTTCCTCTCCAGTTCCAAAGAATTTTCACAGGTAAATTCCGAGAAATCATGAGCTCTTAGGCAAAAAATTATGACACATACACACAAAACCAAGGCATTATGAATAAGAGGCAGCAGCAAAACAAAGAAAAACTATATATTCAGAAAGATTTCTAAAGCTGTAACTATGAGAACACCGTAATTCTATAGTATAAACTCTATATGTATAACATAATTATAGAATCAAGAAGGCATTGGCACTATTTGTGCCAATAAGCATTATAAAAATGTACAGTATGAAAAATGACCAAGCTGATTTTATAAAGAAATAAATAAGACTTCAAGAAATAAACAATCTGATTAACATGAAAATCTCAATGAGAATATTTGAACATATTATTTTAATAAAAAAAATTAGTAAACAGGAAGTTAGCGTTCAGAAAATCCAGAATACAGCACTGAGATAAGGTGGAAAATATAAAAGAAATATAAGATAATTTTTAATTGATATTTCAAAGGGGAAGAAAGAAAAAAAACACATGCAAGCAATTTTGAAATCCAACTAGGAAAATCCCATTTAATTTCAAGGAGTTTGCCCAGTTGGAGTTCAATGATCCATTAAACCCCATTTAATTTTAGTAATCTTCTGTAGTCTGAGGCTCTGCCCTCTGGGCCCACAGCTCTATCCTTGAAGTCATCATTTCTTCCTCATGAAGGGTACCATGTGCTTGAAGCTGAGTAGTTTTAATAGTCTGTTTTCTGTTTGTGTGTTTTGAGAGTCTGACAGGTTTTTTTTTTCTTTTTCATTTTGTCTCCTTTCTGCTTCTCTCAGTCCAAGTTGTCAGGGCATTTACTGACATGCGTGAAAACCTTGTGGGTCTCCTGTGTAAGTCATAGGGATCACTCTGTTAGATCAGAGGTTTCTCCACAGATCTTTCCTGGATACTCCCATCTATATTTTTAGCTTCTGCTGAGATAGCTTAAAAGATCCATGAGACAATGGCTAATCCTCCATGTGATGAAACATTTTGACTTTTTGATTGATCTTTCCAAGGTGCTAGCAAAAGCTGTCTAGGTACACATTGGCTTTCTCTCTAGAGCATGCATTGTGGATAGCAAATCTAATTTAGGATTTTGTTATAATCTGAAAGGCTGAGAATCTCTCAATTCATCAAATCCTGTTTCTTTGGACTTCATGTTTTTTCCTCAAATGAGCTCTTACCTCTTAAATTTTTCTATCGGCAGCCAGAGGAAACCAGGCCACATCTCTAACACTAGGCTTGGAGATCTCCTCTGCTAAATGCCCAAGTTTATTACTTGCTAGTAGTTTGTTCTCCACATAAGTATAGGACACAACTCATGAGGCTTTCTTAAACTATGTAACTCGGATCTCCTTCCTTTCAGTTTCCATGAGCATGTCCTACATTTCTTTCTGAGTCTGCACCAGAAGAGCTTTTAACATTCTTCCTTCTACCAACAGTCTGTTCATGATGATTTAGCTATGCCTGAAGATGCTTTAGGTTTCCCCACCATGCTCCTCACTTCTTTCTGAGTCTTCACCAAGAGTCTTAACATCCATACTTCTTCTAACCGTTCTTTCAATACAATCTAGACTTTCTATCACAGCCCTCAAAATTGCCCATTATCCTATCCCAAAGCCAGGTTCATATTTGTATTTGTTTTGGTTACAGCATTTTTATTGTTTTCATGTATTTGTTACAATGGCACCCCACTCCCAGGTGCCAACATCTGTGTTAGTTTCATATGACCTCTGTGACAAAATACCAGAAACTTAGTGGCTTAAAACAACACAAATTTATTCTCTTCCAGTTCTTGGGTTCAGAAGCCCAAAGTCAGTATCACTAAAGTCAAGATTCTAGTAGGGCTGCTTCTTTTGAGAAGGAGTAGGAGGAGAAACAGTTTCCTTGCCTTTTTTAGCATCTAGAGGCTGACTGCATTCCTGGGCTTGTGGTCTTTTCCTCACATCACTCCAATATCCTTTTCCCGTTATCACACCTCCTATTACTGACTGTGACCCTCCTGCCCCCTTCTTATAAGACTTTGTGAGTATATTGAACCCATCTGGCTAAAACAGGAAAATCTTCCCATCTCAATTTACTTAAGTTAATCACATCTGTAAAGTCCCTTTTACTATGTATTGTAACATATTTATGGCTTTTGGGGGTAAGAATGTGAACATCTTGGGGCTACCTTTATTCAGTCTACCACAGTAGATAAAATAAAATACTAAAAGCACTCAATTCAAAAAAAGGCAGATAAACAGAGAAGAATAGATGAGGCAACTGGAAAGCATATATAAAAATTTATGCTACAACTCTAACATACTCGTAATTACATTAGTGGAAAAGCCTCTAGACCTTCCCAGTGACCAACAGAGAAAACCAGATTGGAAACAAAGCAAGAATCAACTATGTATTGGCTACAGGAAACAAACTTTAAATAAAAGGCAATGATAGACTAAAGGTAAAAGGATTATACAATGTGGTAAAAACCAAATTGGAAACAAAGCAAGAATCAACTACGTATTGGCTACAGGAAACAAACTTTAAATAAAAGGCAATGATAGACTAAAGGTAAAAGGATTATACAATCTGGTAAAAACCAAATTGGAAACAAAGCAAGAATCAACTATGTATTGGCTACAGCAAACAAACGTTAAATAAAGGCAATGATAGACTAAAGGTAAAAGGATAGAAAAAGAGATATACCATGCGAAAGCAAATCATAAGAAACCTGAAATCATTATGTTAATAGTAGTTAACATAGTCTTTATTATAAAAAATCTCCCTTTATGCCCACTAATATTCCTTCTTCTGGGTCATAAAGACATAATCATTTTAAACATGCATACACTTGATAGCAGAGCTTTCAAATACATGCAGAAAGCCAAACACAAAAGCACAAAGAGGAAAAAGACCTATTGCCTTCAGGGCAGGAATACAAATCCTGATAGCTAACATCTCACTTTAAGTAATTGAAGCCAGAGAAGATGGAATGAATATTTAAAGTGATGAAACAAATAACTACTAACCTGGGGTTCTATGTTCAATGTAATTATTCTTTAAAAGTGAAGGAAGACAATAAAAAATACTTTCCTCTAAGCCTGCACTATATGTGTGTGTGTGTGTGTGTTTGTATGTGCACGTTTATGTGTAATTCTTCAAAGGAAAAGATTTAAGATCAATTCACAAAATAAAGGAGGGTAAGAGGAAATATATAAATAAAGAAAAATGAATCTTGACCATAGCAACAATAATACCTCACTGTGTTTAGAAAAATTCTGACCAATCTCCATCTTGGAAAAAGATGCAAAAGTCCAATAAAATTATTAGCCAATCAAATCAAGATTAGCATTCAAAATATATCTAGTTGGGTACATTATTCAATCAAAGATTGCTTGAAAATTAGAAAATCAATTCATATTATCCACCTCATACAACAAGGTGATTAGTTTCTCACCAAATTTATACTTACTTCTTCCTGGGCACCAAGCTATAGAATATTTCCCATGTGGCTGAGTTTTATCCAAAATCACATGAGACAGACCGGTGTGTGCAAATTCCAAGTCTGACCTAGAAAACCTACCACGTGTGTTTCTCCTTATTCCTGGGTTGCAGTGGTGATAACTAGTATCAAATTGATGTTGAAAAACAAATGTTGGAAGGATCACTGTCAGACTGTCTCTAAATGACTCTTCAGAGGAGAGAGATGTCTTCAGCAACCTCATTACCTATCCTGACCTTAACTTGGATTATGTTTGAACTACTATATGTTTAGTTAATTAGGAATTAACATACTCCAACTCACCATATTCACAGATTGAAGGAAAAAAATCAAATACAGAGATAGTTTCGTGAAATTTAACATCCGGTCATAATAAAATCTGACAAGCTAAAAACAGGCATTTTTTTTTACTTTTATAATTTTTGCATACACTATCCCTCTCAAAACAAAAGGACAAAAACGTAGAGCAAACATCTTACTTTATGATAATAATACTGACCTTGATAGTGTAGTGAAAAAATAAAAGAAAATAAATAATATGAAGTCTGAAAAGGATGAAATGAAAATAACATAAATTTTTATCATAAAAAAGGATAGATTTTTAAAATTTATAAAACATCTTTATTGTGACTAGATTGAAAAATCATGTACAAAAATCAGTTATATTTCTGAGCAATCAACATAAGCAGCAAATGTATTTGCTACCTCTTCTAATAGCTTTGGATATTAAAATAACCTCGGAATTAATCTTACAAAATGTTTTTGAAACACTTTATCTAAAAAACTTTATGAAAGAATGTTTTCCCTTTAGGAAAAAGAAAGCCCCAGAAACATGGCAGTTTCCACCAAAATTAATATAAACACTCAGTGCAAACTTAATCAGGACAGGTTTGTGCATGTCTCTGTGTGCATATAAACTTAACAAGCTGATTCTGAAATTGATATGGGAGAGCAGAAAGCCAAGAGTGGTGCAGACAGTTCTGAAGAAGAACTAAAAGGTGGAGGTAATTTACCCTCCAGATGTCAAGATTAATTTTGAAGCTATAGTAATTAAGACTATTATATTGATTAAGGAGTAGATTAATTGATCAATAGGACAAAATACAGAATACAGATACAGATCCACTAACATGGAAACTTGATTTATGGCAAAGCTGTTATTACAGATCACTGCAGATTGATGGCTCTTTTATTAAATGAGGCTGGGAGAATTGGCTATTAATACTAAAAAAAAAAAAAAAAAAAGGACCCTTGTCTCACATTTCACAAAAATTAATTCCAGAGAAATAAAAGACCATTATGTGAAAGGTAAAACTATAAAACTTTTTATAAAGTACATTTTATAAAATATTAGAAAATATTTTCAGAAATATTTGTGACCTTGGGATAGAAAATGATTTACTAAACAAGAAGCAAGAAGTGCAGTCAATAAAAGAAAAAAATGATAAATTTTAACACATAAAATAACATCTGTATATCAAATGTAATAATGCATAGTGTGAAAAGACAAGGCATAACATTGAAGAAAATATCTGTAACACATACAATTCCCAAAGGATTATTATTTAGAATCTCTCTTTCTTTATAGAAATAGACAGATAAATAGTAAATACTAATACATATTCATATATATGTGTGTATATATATGTATATAAATGAGGCAATGAGATATAATCATTAGAAAAATCAGACGAAAACTCCAACAGATATTTCACAAAAGAAGAATCAAGAATGACTATAGGAGAAAAAAGTTCAATCTAATCAGTTATCAAAGCAAATGAAAAATTTTTTAATGAGTTGTTTACATCTCTCTGATTGGCAAAAATTTAAATGTCAAACAATATTGAATCCTGATGAAGTTGTAGGTCGCTGGAATACTTTTGATGGTTGTTGGGTATGTAAATTGACATAATTGTTTTGGAAAGCCTTTTGAAATTATTAATAAACTTAAATATGATTATGCTTTGTGACCTAGCAATTCTATTCAAAGGTGTGTGTGTGTGTGTGTGTATACACATCGAATATATATAGTGAATATGTGTATTTTATATGTAATTTATTTTTATATTTATTTTATAATTTATATTTATATACACGTTTTAGTATATAAATTATATATATAATATATATAACTTTTTGTAAGTGCACCAAGAGTGTTTATCACAGAATATTTTTAATAGTGGAAAACTGAAAACGACAAATATCCACAGCAGTGGAATAGAAAAATAAACTGGAGTATATTCATCTAATGGGATACTTATTTAGCAATGACATTGAAAAAGTTATAGCTACATGTAACAGCATGAGTGAAACTCAGAAATGTAAAAAGGCTTGTCAAGAATGTCCAAAAGCCTATTAAGAGGGAAACATTGAATTTAAATAAAGTTGGAAAATGTGAAAAACCTAATAACACACCGTTGGAGGGATGATGTTTCAGTGGTCTCCAAGGTGGTTAACCGGACCTTCGATAGTAATGGCATCTTGCCTCCATCCTTTCTCTCTAGTTTCCTAATTCTCTCTGGAAAGCAGATGTATTTCCATTTATTCTGCCCCATCTACAACCAATGGTAACATTTGCAGAAAACTTTTATAAGTTCACTGTGAAGCTCAGATGTGGGGGAACATAGAATTAGGCGAGGGGATCCAAGCAGTACTCAAGTTCACAGTCGTGTGCTCTTAGATCAGTTTCTCAGCCTTGACACTATTGATATTTGTGCTGGAAAAATCCTTTGCAGGGACTGTTGTGTGCAATGTAGGATATTTGGCAGCATTTCTGAGCTGTATACATTAGGTATCAGTCTCCAGACATTGTCTGATATCCCCCGAGAGTCGGGGGTGATGGGCAAGTTACCCATGGTCGAAGACCATTGTCTTAGATAATACACCTCACTGCTATGCCGCCGCAATATCATAGAAAAAAAAATGAGGATTCTTTGGAATTTCTCTAAGTCAGAAACATAGGCGTGGGGAAGACTCGTGTTAGTGGAGTGTGAGACGTGCATTATACACGGTCTTGTAGGGCTTTCAAGAAGTTGGAAGGTCTTTGTAGTACTGCACAGACCTTCCTTTTGCTTAAGGCTGAACTCCTGCAAAAGAAAAGCTTGTTTGTTTTAAGACATTCAAAGTTCACCTTTATTCCTTAAATGTCAGACAGGTCACCACAATTGCATGATACAGGATCCAATATTATTATGAACACTTCTATTCTGTTCTCTCAGTATCTCTTATCTCAGGAAGACCTCAGGACTAACACCTCTTGATTCCAAATTCAAATTTCTTATTAATAGTAACACCTTCATGGTCTAGGAAAGTGCCTCTTTGCTTACTTTCCTTCTTTCCTCACTCCTTTCCTTCCTCCCTCCGTCTTCACTTTCTTTCTTTCCACCAAGCACTTTTTAAAAACTGATAGGATATGTATCTCAATATATTAAAGAATAGTGAAAGTGTCCAAAGACCACCCTGATGACCTCCCCACAAATGATCTTCCACGGTGGTCCCCAAAGTGTCTTTGACATGTAGGGTTCTACGGCACTCACTTCGAAAACACCAATGTAGGAGAAGCAATACCTCAGAGGAAAAGAATATATAAAAAATATACACACCCCCAGATTGAGAAATCTCAAGAATGTTAAAAATGACTGAAACACATCAGATTCTGCTTAGTCAGGTAAATGGAGAATGGATAAGAGAGTCTATTGATATTCAAACACACAATAAACCTGTGAAACTAGAATTTTCAATATTTTAGAATTTAATTTACATAGCCTCTTGTTTTTGAAATTAATCAGGGCGGATTATTAGAAAGACAATGTTGTTCTGTGGGAAAAGCTTAGTACCAAAATGTTTGGTTTGGCTTGTGTTACCCATTGACCTATGGCTCTAGGAGAATCAACTACCTGTCTCAGTTTCCTTGTCTTCAAAGTGGGGCTAAGAGCCATGCCCACATCAGAGAACAGTTCAAAAAATTACATGACATGACATTGGTAAGGTACTGTGGCTGAGGGAGGATAGAGTAGAATAGATTTTGGCGAATACTCATTTTACCCACCCTGGAAGCCTACAAGAAAGGTAGTCGGTGAGTCTCTCCTTTTCTGAACTATGCATTAGAAATTAAGGTTCTAAGTTGTAATGGCTTTAAAATGCATAAATTTTTCATTCAATATAAAGCATCAAACTAAAGGCAAAGAATAGAAAGTAAATGTATTTTGCCATGACGATAGCCCAAGTGTGAATCAAGCTCTTTTTTTTTTTTTTCCTCTGGTGGTAATTTTCAGCATTGTCACATACCTGGAGTTCCTCTTTAGTTGGTGGCAGTCAGCAGGGTTCTCTGAAAACAATTTATAAACAAATTGTGGCTGTTCTGAAACTAGGGCAACCGATATCTTGAGTTTCATCTGTTTAGTGTTTTAGACCTGGTCCTGATGTTAGTGTTCCCATATTAAAGATTGGCTGTGGGCCTTCCGAATGCCAATGTATGCGGATGGATGGCCTAAGGTCCTTAACCACAAATGTTAATGCTAAGAATCATGATGATGATGTGTGTGTGCGTGTGTGTGTGTGTGTGTGTGTGTGTGATGAGATACACTGAAACTGAAAACAGCAGGAAGGTCTAAACAAGATATGTTTACTTTTTTTTTTCCTTTAGAGATTGAGAAGTTTTGAAATGCAAATGAACGAGCTTAAGCACATATTACACGTAGAAATGGTGGAAATTCGCTTTCCTGGGTCTTGGAATAGTTCCTCCTTGGTAAGACGCACCTGATCTTTTTTTTAAAAAAATAAGGGTCAAGGAAGTTTAAAGCTATATAAATATGCTGTAAGTAAAATAGCTTCTCGGATCGTAACTTTGATTTTAAATGGTTTCAGATGAAGCTGTTGAAAGATCACATTCTCTTTTATAAAAAATACAAAATTGAATGAATATTTCATTCAAGATGAGTAAATAGGATGCTTGAATTTTTTCTATTGAATTCTAATATTGTTTGCACTGTCAGTTAAATGTGTGGGGATGTTGCTAAGCAGTTTCTACACTTCCAGATGCAATAGATGTTATATGTAAAACATTTTTTTCTTTTCTATATACCAAATACATCCAGTAATACCTGTTATTGTGTTATGCATGCCCTGACAAGTTGTTGAGGGTTAAAGATTACATTACTGTGGCAATTCTTATACAAGAAAATGTGTATTTTCTATTTTCACTTTTTTCTCAAATTTTAAATAATTTTTAACATATGAGTGTACAAAAAAAGGATTCTCTCAAGAATGATGTTCAACTGGCAACTTTCATTTGAATTTAGGAACAAGTCAATTATGATATTTCTGAATTGTGGCTCTATCTTCATAAGTTAATTCTGTTACACTTTAAATTGATGAAAATAGCATACATAAAAAGATAAAAACTGAAAAGATTTTCTGATTTTTTCCAATGTAACATCGCAAAGTATTGCAGTTGTTCCTCAGTGTGGTACCTGAGTTTTATTATATTAATCCACGCTAACAAAAATAAATAAATAAAGTGTGAATGGCACCATAAACACGTAAGATTTAAATTCCTTTTAGTTTGCTTTAGCCATTTAACCATGAGGTCATCTAGGGGCTAAAGTCAGGAAATTCCTAGCTAAATGCCTGCACAACATGCCTTCATTTGATGCAATTTTGAAGCTATTTTGTCAACATTCACTGAGGATGAATTATATTGCTTTTAAAAAAAGTGTATCCTAACACTCACCTTCTCCATTTGTTATAATATTACCATGAATAATTTTACTTTTTTGTCTATTGTATTATAGACTCATATTCAAATTTCTGTTTACTTGAAAGGCAATTTTTCTGCAATGAGATTCAGTGTAAGTTGAGATAGAATAACTTGGTTATCTCTTCTTTAGAGGTTGAAATCAGCCATTGTTATAATTTTTCCCATCATTAACAACATTCTTTCTGGGCTAAGCTTACAGAATAGGTTTGTTTTCCTAAAGCTGAAATTTGTAAATACTTTCTGTGTCTCAAATTAATTAACAGATTTACCGCCACAGAAAGTCTAACTTGTAAGCAACAATTTCCTTCATTTATATAATTTCTTTCATTCAACTGGATATAGAATTCTTTGCTTTCCTAATATTGACAGTAAATGTTTAAGTATCTTAAGTTCATGTTCTCAGTCTTTATAGAAGCTTTTTTTCTTGCATAATTATACAGGGGAAAAATCTAGCTTGGACATTAGCTTGATGTATTCAAAATGGAGTGTTGGCGTTGGGCAGGTTCGAAAACATCATTATGTTGTAACCCCAACACCAGACTCGACAGGAACTGTATATGGGTAAGTGGCTGGAAATAAGAAGGAAGGCAGGACCCAATTGGAGTCCAGGGACACAGGACATTTTTCAAGTTCAAACAAACAAAGCATCTCTGTTGGCTAGTTAAGTTCACCAGTCACCAGAGGAGAAAACAGACATGCCCAAGGAGACACTATTTCTTAGTGCCAACACTTATATATATCTTCCTGTTCACAATTAGTCTTTGAGAGGCAGAGTAAGATATTGTAAATCTATTGTTGCACGTACTCACTGCGTATTTAGAAGTTCTTGGGGCACTGTGTAAGTGTAGGAGAAGATAGATGGAGTATCTAATTAATCTAAAGATAAAAATGAATGAGGTAGAATCCATTCAGTAGACTAATAAATAGTTCTTAAGATCTAGTAGGATTTCTCTTTTGGAGTGTGGAGACATAGTGTGGAGACATTTGCTAATGTAGCCATAAAGATAGACCTATTGTCCATTGCAATGAAAGCAACAAATACTATAACATAAAATATTTCCAAATTGGTTTGGGTGAAAATAAGCTTGTTTCCCAATAAATGTCAGATGGCACTTGTTGTAAGAGGTAACTTTGAAGAAATTTAAATTAATATATTATTTCCAGCCAAAAACGTCATGCATTTTTAGAAGTTCACAAAAGTCTGTAAAATATGCACACAAATGTCCATCAATTGTAATTTATTTCAATAAAGAAAGGTAGCTTATACCACTTGTGGCCATCAGATTTCCTATAGACTATGCCTCAAGAAATTATCTAAATCTAAGGTGTTAGCAAAATAGTGCTTACATGTATTTTATAGTATGAAATTCACCTTCAATATACATATTCATATAAGTTGTTTAGCTGGGGCACTGCTTTACTGAAAAAAAAAATCTTCCACATTCTCTATTTAGAAAAAGTAAATATCTAAAGGGAATGTCTCAGCTGTTAAATTTCTACAGAGGTTAAAAAGAAAGAAAGAAAAAAAAAAAGCAGCCTGTGATCACCTGGCAAGAAACTGCATGGAAAACTCACTTTGATGAAAGTTTATGAACCCGAAACGCTGCCTTTCTTGCCTGTTTTTTCTTAAACACATCTCAGGGCATAAGAAAAGAGATGAGGTTTGTTGTAGTTGATCCAAGGCTCTGATACGTTATGAAACACTATCTTTAATCTGAACACATTCAAATTTGCATGTATAGTGTAAAACAGAGGAGACCATATTGTAGATTAAGAGCGTTCTTACATTTACATAGACCATGATGTGATTTCCAGAAAGTGCACTCCAAAACTTACATACGGAATGCACTACAGAAATGGCAAATTCAGCTTCTATCGCTTCTATAAGTCCATCCCTTATGTTGTCACATAATTGTATATTCTAAGATTGGCTCAAAATAAATCAACCTGTTTTGTTAAGGGAAGTGCTGTAGTATAAAGTTGGTTTACAGGGGCCTGTATCGATGGAGCAAGACTCAATCAGGTAAATGAAAGAGTCCCAGACTGAAGAAGGACCACTTCACAAAGAGAAAGGACCTCTTGGGGAAAAGTTCTGAAGTGAAAAAGTTGAAGTCAGCACAGCTATACAACTATTAGGATAAAAACATGACCCGCCAACTGCTACTGTCAATTAGTATTTTGCTTTCTCAGAGATCTCAACCTCATTCTATCCGGTGGATTTTGCTCAGTGATGTGACTAAGCTTGGGCAAACCTTCTTGTTACTCTTAAAGCTTTTGAACCAAACTGTGTGTGCAAGATGCAGTGGCTTTACCTTTGAAATAGGACATACATTTACTGCATCCAGCATGGTGCCTGACTTACAGCAAGGGCTCAGTCTTCAACAGTCAATAATACTGATGGTAATATTTCAATATTGTCTTTTTTTAACAGTATGAATGGTGGAAAAGAGAGGCACAGAGAGAGCTTCTAGTGAACGTCAAACTTCTGGAAATGCTTTTTTGTCTTATATTCCACTTCGGCAAAATTTTTTAAAAAGTTTACCTTGTCCTATTCTTTTAAATTAACTTTTTCCTATAATGCAATAGTTGATGTTCACAGTTCTACAACTTCTTAATTTTACAAATTAGTACAGTCTCACAATTTCATCTCATACTCGTCCACAACATAATTTCATTTTAATTTATTAACACCTTGAAATAAGTACAAGATGGTACTCAATATTCTAGCCTATCTATATTTTGCTCCTAATTCTCACATTGCTAATATAGTTAATAAATATAATGTAACTAATAAACACATTTGCCATTTTCAACATATGTTTTAACCCTCAGTAAACTATACTTACGTGGAAGCAGATATGTCAGAAAAAAAAAACACCCAAACCAAGACACAACATAAAACATATGATACAGTTATTTCAGTTACCAATGTTGACATACATCAGCAAAATTATTTATGCAGTTGTAATTTTCTGTTTCACATCTGGAGTGTTTTGGTATTCTATGGCATTTCTAAATTAAACCACATTTTCAATGGTCTTGCTTCCAGTAGCCAAAATTCTTCAAAGGTTTTTTAAAATTAAAAAAAATTAACATGTATTTTAAGAAAAAAAAATCGTCTCATTTTATTATGGCTTGACCCAAATATATTTTCAGAGTCAAATCCAAGGCTGGTAAAATAAATTTTTACTTATGAGAAATGGGAAGTTGGATCTTGCAAAATAACAAATGTATCATAAAAAGGAATGTGATTTAGTTTAACTTCAGAAGCTACAGGATATATATATACAGTACTTATCCTTCTTGTACCAAAGTTGCTAAGTAAATAAGCATATATTTTGACCCCCAATATCCGACAGTATGCATGTGTAAATAAATATGTTTTCAAATCAGAGTATTTACAAAGTTGTTCCTCCTTTGCTAATCTGTCAGGAATCAAATTTAATGTTCTTCTTGATCCACTGGATAACATCCAAAGCAACAAAGCCATTGAAAAGAATTCCACTTCCTTTGTTGGTTGAGGTGATAGTGACCTCATCAACTCCAGCAGGGGAAACTGGAGAGCTCTAAAACCAGCTGTTTCCAGGAGGAAAAAAATAATAATTTTAAGACACTGCATAGTAATTTTTTTCCACTTATTTTACATTTGTACTTTTTGAAAATTAAAGTACAGATCTGAAAAGGGTTATGGAATTTAGTAGTCAGTAGCATGCCTATTTTAAAAGAAAGTATGTCACAGGAAAACACAATGGTTAATATTTATGAGTAAGAATTGCATTTGCCTTTCCCAGGTTTTATGTTGCAATAAAAAAGGTACAAACCACTGAAGGTAGATCTTCTTTTATCTATGAAATATGCTATGTCAGTCTTATCATACTCAGAACTTCTCATAATCCAAGTAAAAACAGACTGTATCTGTTCAAAGGAAGATAATTTGTGATTTTTGCATATACCCACTATATGCCAGACAGTAACATTATATTTGATGAATGAAAAAGAAACAGAGAGAAACACACAACGAACAAACAGAAGAGACAGGAGAGGCTGCAGCAGCCACAAAGCATACCTCAGATATTTCCATAGTGTAGAAATGTTCTTTCCGGACCCACCTTTCACAAAAATCACTTAGTAGAAATTCTTTTCAAAATATTAATTTAATACCTAATAGTAGAAAATAGCATTACTTATTTGATTGTGGAATTTGCTTTATTTTTAAGATATAAGGAATAATGAGAATGAAATTCTGTCCTGCTGAATTCTTAGTTAATAAATTGAACGATGATTTTCAATACTCCCACTGTGGAAGCTGTAATCAATGAAACTCGATTTCTGCACAACTTACGTCACATAAGGAGAGCTACTAAATAAAGTGGTAATACTAAATTTCACCCCTCTACTCACAGTAAGTAAATGAAGAGTTGATTCCTACATCTTGAAAATGGAAAAAATGTTTCTAAACCTTCAGCTATGCTCAAAATGTCAATCATTCTGACCAACAGAAGCAGTCATCTTCCCAGGTAGTTGGACTTGAAAAATATCCCAGGCCCATTTATGCTTTGGCAATCACTATATGGCTGGATTCCCACACTCTACCTAACTCTTCATTGAAGAGATTTCTGAAAACTTTTCTTTTGCTCAAGTGAATTTTTATTTCCAGGAGGATGTGCTTTATGCAATAAAGCAAACAGCTTAGAAGTGATAAAAGCCTTCCTCAATATTTAGCAGAGGCTCCTCAGAGACATCTGACAGTATTTAAAATTGAAGTTGAAGGTCAAAAAGTGGAGAATGGCAACTTCTGAATGATTCTGGAATGCTGCCTATAAAAAGTGATATTAATTTAATACTCAGATGGCCTTAAACATGGAAAACAGCAGTGTTCATGCTTCTTGGGCAAAAAAGGAATTAATATTTCCATGTTCTCTGGGTGGCTTGATGAACTTTGCAACTTAGGGAAAGTCACTTCTGTTTATTTTTGTGTGTAGGCATCATTTACTGTGTATATGAAGCAGGGATAATAGCTCCTACTTGGAAATCACTTTAAAAACCCATGTATAAGTAGGAAGCAGCATTACATTAGTATGATGTAGGTTTTGGCAAATGTACTGTAAGCTATTGTAAATAAGTGATCCTATGAAGGTACACACATAAATCTGCTTCCATAGGAAACTTCTATATACATTTATTAAAATGCTGTCCCCTGTAATATTAAATTTCATGCTGGGCAGCTTCTCTAACTTTGTTCAATCTGTTGACCTTTGCTGTAGAGAAAACCACTCTTATTTATTTGCAGGTCTTGGCTATAAAAACATGACGGATGTAAAAATTAATTCTATGCACTGGATGCAGGGCAGTAATTACAATTTAGAAATCAAAAACAAGGAAACTAAAAAGATGTTAATATTTTAAGTTATGATTTTATTTTTCTAAATAGTTGTTTATGTTTGTTAGATTTATTCTATAATTTCTTTCTAAGAATCTTCATAATTAAACAAAAAACATATTGCTATATCGTTGCATATATTTAAAATAATTCTTCATATTTAAATGGTAAAAATATATTTTATATTAACTGTATTATGAATTCATGGTTTACATCATTTTTCATAAAATAGCCTTTAAAATATTATATGATATATATTTTACATATATTAATGTTTTGAGTACAGGTTTAAATTTCTCAAATGATATATGTCAAAGAGCCTTAAACTGGGAGAATTATTTCTAGCTTACTTTACATTTATTTTTGCCTATCTTTCTCAGATTGAATTGCATCATTCTTACAGCTTATTGGAGGTATTGAAGAAGATGTTTATATTCCTTGATTAAAAGTTATCGTCTTATTTTTCAAATGTATAATTAATCTGCCCTCTCAGGACATCAAAAAATTTTTTAAAGTTATGGTCTTGCAGTTCATGAAAAACATAAATTCAGATATTTATATCTTTAGGGATTTGATTTCTCTTTTCCCCCAATGAGGTCATTTCTTCAAAGGGAAAACATTTGTGAAGCTAGTGTCAGGTAAGATTTCTAATTTTTCTCAAAGCCAATGTTTCTCAATGGGCACTAATCATTGGTCTATTCCGCTGTGGGAACACAGATTATTTTTCTTTTTCATTTTTAAATGAACTTTTCCCAAGCCAAATCCCATCCTTGAAAGCCAATAAAAGCTAAGATTTATTTATTGGATGCTTACTAAGTGGCAGGTACTGTGTTAAGTACCTCACATAAGCTCTCTTGCCAAATCCTTACACACAATCTATTAGGCTTTTACTATATTCATTTTAGTGAGGAGGAAATGAAACCATTAAAAGTTTAAATAATTTGCCCAAGGTTATGCAGCCAATGCATAGAAAAATATTTTAACCTGTTTGTCTGAGTCTATAGTAAATGTTAAAGAAGAATTCCATATAGAATGACATTAGAGATGTCCCTTATGGCAATTCTATAAGGGATTAATGTAACTGCCCTAAGTAATCATAGAAAGGCTTTGAAAATAAATAATGTGATGTTTGTGGAATATCTAAAAGTAGAACAGTGGATATTCCTTAGTAAGGAAGAATAATTTGCAAATTAATCTTGCCAAGATAAACCCTTTATTTTAATTAAGATGAATTATTTTTCTTCCAGTTATTGGCTCCTAGAGATAAGTGATGACTATTTAAATTTCTGAAAATGTAGTTGAAATGAGTATGTTTTGCATTTCGTAGCAGAGACGTGAGGATAGTCAACTCCTGGGCTAGTAGCTTGCTAAGTCAATCCATGTCAATACATTCAAGCTGGCAAACAACTTTTGAATAGCATAAGTTGAACTCTGGTTCCTGAATTTGCTCATCTTTCTTATGGGTATTACATACCATTAAAAATAAATGGTAAAAAAAAAAATAAGATCTGGTGAGGATCACATGACAAGATGATTCATTCTTTCTAGTCTCTCTGTTCCAGTTTGGTTGACCTTCAGTTCATCCTCCATATTGTTTCCACCCAAAATTTCTAAGCAACTTTTATGTCTTAAGTTCTTTATTTATTTCTAATTGATCTATTGTAAAGTTTGGACTTGAATGAGTCCTTAATATTCTGGTTCCAGCCCTCCTTTCTAGCCAATCTCTTGTCATATCTCTACATACAGTCTAGTCCAGCCCTTTTGATCTGTTTATCCCTTTGAAAGCCAAGTTCTCTGAGCTGTCCCTTTGCCTGGAATAAACTTCTCTCTCACTGTGACTTTTGAAAGACCTAGTTCAAGAATCACCACCTTTTAGAAGTTGCTCAACAAAGTTAAGTGTCCTCTTCAGAGCATTTCTTTTAAGCTTTCTTAACATTTTGGGCACATTTTTATGTAAATGTATCACACAATATTATGATTATTGTTTTACTTCCATGTCTCCCTTAGAATATTCTGATATTCTTGAGGTCAGAGATTCTGTTCTGATATTAATTGAAAGGTGGTAAATATGCTCAATTCCCTGATTTTTCAAACAATATATATATAACACTATATATAATAACTGTATCTATAAATCACTAAATATGTAACTCTATATATGTATCTCCAATGCCCACAAGAATAGACTCTATTGAATTTAATGACCATTTCATTTTTTGCCTACCTTACATAATTTTACTATGTAGCAGTTGCTTAATAAATATTCAATGACTGTAATTAATGTTTTCACAGAAATATGCAAAAAATGTAAAAACCAAATTAACCCCACAAAGGGATATATATTTAAGTCTCTAAATTATTTGTCTTTTGTTCCAATTAAAGTATTTTTTAAATTCACAAAATGGTTTGAACAGTATATCAGTATGGACGCCCATGGAATTCTAAATTACAACAAATAGAAAATATACATAACAGGAAAAATATTATCCAACCTGAGCTCTGCCTATAGTCACTTCCTCTCCTTTTACAGGAAGTCAGGCAAGTTTAAATCAAAGGAATGATCCACCCACTTACTAGGTGTTTACCCAATGTAAAACATTGCTTCAGAACCTGTTACAAATGACCTTCATATAAAATGAAGTGTTCCACATTATATTATGAAATTTAAGGACACTCTGCTCTTTCACTAGAGGCTATATTTTGGGGGATACTTAAAAAATTTTAGTGGTTAATGACTAATCTATTAATTCCCTCAGCATGACAGCAGAAAACAAGTTTTCAAGGGCTTCCTGAGTATAAAATCTGGACCCAAATCTCTAGGTCTATAATTTCAGCAGCAGGAAGTGGCTTTTTGCAGACCCTACTGCTGTGTGATAAAGCCACTGATTCTGTGGCTGTTGATAAACTCCCTACATTAAAGTCTTCAACCTTCAACAATTTTCAATTCCAAGCAAAACCAAACAATTTTATTTTCTGTGTGCTTGTCATTTACCCAGAGTAATATGCTGTCCTTTCCCACGGCCTATCAGGTTAGCTCAACTCACGATGGTGAGAAGAGTTTCCTGGTTCATTTTCCAGAACACTAGCTGCTTCATACTAACTGGATTGGGACTCTTATTTCCCCAAACTAATAATGAAGCCACCTTTACATTTCATCCATGGTGGCAAGAAAAACTCTAACACATGGCTAACTTACAGTTGAATTTTCTCTCTAGTCTGTGGGTTTTCAGAATAAACTACCCTATAAAGCTCTTGTAGAACTTTGAGTACAAAAGAATGAAAAACAACAGAGAGAAATACTCAACAATTTTCTTATTTAGCATTTTTGGTCAAAGTAGATGAAGAAGACAGATTGAAGGTCTGATTAAAAATGATAGATTGCTTTTGTGTTAGCTGCTGCTTTTGTGTGTGTGTGTTTGTGTGTGTGTGCACGCGCGTGTGCGTGCATGTGTGTGTGCACAGAAGCT
Organism: Homo sapiens; assembly: GCF_000001405.40. Lineage (NCBI taxonomy): Eukaryota > Metazoa > Chordata > Mammalia > Primates > Hominidae > Homo > Homo sapiens. The sequence goes on from NC_000010.11 coordinate 8,778,038, forward strand.
GTGAGCAAAATGTTTTTGCAAAAACAAGTGTTAAGTTAATCAATGGTTTTCAGTGCATTTCTGCAAACAGGCTCTGCTGGAAACCATGGCGTGTCCACAGCCAATCAAAATGGGCTTGTTGATTATCACAGGGGGTTGGGGGAAGGCAGATGCTAACATCAAGTGAGATAGGATTCAGTAAGAAGTTTTGAGATTGACCTCTGGAATCAAACTCAGCTGCCAGAAGCCCTCTATAGAAAGCAAGTGTTAAATGCAATGATAAACTGAGGTCAGGGTGTCACTTCCAGATTCACCAGAAATCCTATACAATTATAAAGGAAGTAGGGGTGGGAAAGAGACTTGTGTAGATCTATTTCTGTTTACTAATAGGTATTTCTGCAGAATAAGGCAGTATAATACTTGAAGACAGGTTATGCTAGCAATTCATCTACACTATTTCCTCAAGAGTGTTCATTTACCTTATTTGCTTAAAAGTGTCCTTTGAATGAAAAATTTGGCACAAATGAGCATTTCTCATGGGGAGATGGTGAGAATGTCCCCTGGTGTTCATCCGAGTCTCAGTGTCATAGGCTCATAGACACACAGTGTCACATATAGGAAACCCTGCCCTGGATTATAAAATGAGTCTGGAGTGGGTACATGTATACATCCGACCACATAGCCATTTGCCTCTTCTTCCAAATTGCAGCCTTGTTTTGGAGCAGAGTATGTGGGAGAGGACATTTTGAGCCCAGTACTAGCATAGCATCTTAAGTTTCAAGGTGCATGCTTTAAATACCAGAGACTTCTCAGGTCCCAGTGTGACTTTAGACTGGAAAGAACTGATCAGCTGAGTCACTTGCTTTGAAAACCATAGGAGAAACGTGTGACTAGACTTTATGACAGTATTTATGTCAAAAATCCCCATCAGAGCTGGTTTGTTTCTTCTAGTGAAGCCTGAGGTGGGTGTGGTGAGACTAGCGGTCAGCTTGGTCAAGTCCTCAATAGTCACTGCTGTTTTTCTTTGCTGTCTAGTGACTAACTCAGCACTGCCCATGGCCCTTCACACACAGAGGGCACTTCGGTGATAGCCAAAGCAATGAGAAATCCAAGCTTTCTCACTGCTTCCAATCAAGAATTCTTTTTCTTTTTTCCTGTTCCATGACTGCTTTATACGGCTCAAACCTTGCCGAGGCTCCAATAAGAAGGCCAGGCAAAGATGGGTATGAAAAAGATAAAAAACAGCATTTTAATAAATTGCACAGTGAAAAGTGACCTTAAATGATCAATGTTGGAGAACAAAAGCATAAAAATAAAACCGTATTTTAGTGCAATTGGTAAAACCAAACACACGTGGATGTTTTAATCTTAGGGAGCAATGTTAGATTCCAAAAAGTGAAATTATACTTGTGAAGCTCTACAGAGGAAAGTGATCTGCTGTCAAATGGTGTGGGTCCAAACGATCTTGTGTATATTCACTTTTACAATACTCTGAGAGTATTATAGGTGACACTGATAATGATAGCCGACCTATTCCAAAATTTTAAAACTTAAAGAGAGAAAATAATATGCATACTTCTAGGTCTTCACACAAAGTCTTTAAACAAACAAACGAACAAACAAACAAAAAATCCATCTCTTTCTGTTAATGTAGTGTATTGTCTATTTATTGATTTTTTCTTCTGTATTTTTCCTGAGTGTAGTAACAAAGGAATAATACAGAAGAAATATGAATAGTTATTATTTTACTACTTCAACACATGAACGCTTTTCTTGTGTTCACATTCCCTTCTAGTTCTTTGCCAATATGTAAAATTCATTGCAGTGCCGCTTATAAGTAACATCATAAACGTACCATGGGATGTTTTACCATGATCTCTACTGAAATTTATCTTTGCAGAGCCAGCAAAAACCCCACAGCTTTTTTGGAACTCCTTCTCTGAAAAGGCATGTCTCCTCTACCTGAACTCCCTCAACTCCCCTACACTTTACTGAATGACCCTCTCTTTCACAAGTTTCCTTTTAATCACTTAATTTTGTTTTATTTCTTTTTGTTTTTCTTTTCTTTCTTTTCTTTTCTTTTCTTTTTTTGATGGAGTCTTGCTCTGTCACCCAGGCTGGAGTGCAGTGGTGTGATCTCGGCTCACTGCCACCTCTGCCTCCTGGGTTCAAGTGATTCTCCTGCCTCAGCCTCCTGAGTAGCTGGGACGACAGGCACCCGCCACCACACCTGGCTACTTTTTTTTTTTTTTTTAGTAGAGACGTGGTTTCCCTATATCTGCCAGGCTGGTCTCGAACTTCTGACCTTGTGATCTGCCTGCCTCGGCCTCCCAAAGTGCTGGGATTACAGGCATTAGCCTCTGTGTCCAGCCTGTTTTATTTCTTTACCATTTTCCATCACTATTAGATAGTAAACAAACACCAGAAACCTAGAAAATTCAGCTGTATGTGGTCTCTTAGGGGAAAGTAAGTCATAATTTTACCATATTTTTCATAGCAGAAGAGAAAAAAATCAATGTCTAGATCATAATACCATAATACCAATATTTTTAAAAATTACAGACAGAATATATGGTAAGTTTCCGTTTTAGGGGTTATTCCTAAATTTCTTGAAGAATATTTCTTTATTTTTGAAAAAAAAAATCTACCATTATTGCCAAAAGACAATTGAATTAAGTACCTTGCAAAAATTTAGCTATATTTCACAGCAAAATATGGTTGATTGCAAACTTATAGTATTTGTTTGCTATATCACAAGGAAAAATAATCATAATGAAAGCCACCAGATCTCAAAAACGTGCAGTCCTCATTAGACAACCCAGCAACGACACTGCCTGGTCCTCTGCTAGACAAGGGGCTACAGGAGTGAGGGAGCCTGACAAGGTTTTTTTCCCTTGAGGACAGTAAGCAAATAAGCAGAGAGAAAAATTCCTCATTCCACCAAGGAAAAAACCTGAGACCCAGAGAGACTGGGTAACTTGCTTGAAGCCATATTTCTAAGGTGGGATGGAGTTAAAACTAGCCCAATATTATGATTGCTCATTGCTGTTTGTTCCTAAACAAATTCACTTGAGATACAGGTCTATCATTTTCTGTATAATTGGGATTCTCAAAACAGAATATGCTATTCTTATGCTTTTAAAAATGAATGTTGCCATATTCATATTTGACCTATTCATATATTCATATATATATGAATATGGCAGCATTCATTTTTTAAAGCATAAGAATAGATTCAGATCTTGGATTTCTCTCATTTATTATTATTATTATTATTATTATTATTATTATACTTTAAGTTCTGGGGTACATGTGCAGGACGTGCAGTTTTGTTACATAGGTATACATGTGTCACGGTGGTTTGCTGCACTCATCAACCTATCACCTTCATTAGGTATTTCTGCTAATGCTATCCCTCTGAAATATAAGAAAAAAATATATGAGTATAAAAACACCAGGAGGGATTTAAGTCAAACAGAAGGGAGATGACTTCCTTACGATGCTAGTGAGGGAGAACCCAGGCTACTGCTCAGGCTGAATTCTTAAGAAAATACGATATTTTAAAAAATCTGAGTTAGTTTAAATGATCATGTAGTAAAGATGATACATGGAAAAGATGGCTTTCAAGGCCATTTCTGGGCAGATAATTTTAATAGTGAATATTCATATCAAGTCATTTCATTCAAACATGTATAACAGCCTTCATGTCTACTCCTCCAACGAAGCTGAGTTGTGTCATTGACACAGAGTAAAACAATAATTTTTCAGACATACTTATCATGAAGGATGAATTCTTAAATTCTGTACAGTACAGCAGGCAAATAGAAATGATACATGTTTCTTGTTTAAAACCTGGGTAAAACAAATAATTCATAGCAAGTATTTCAAAGTATAAGAAATATAAGGAGGAGAAGACTTACTGGCACCATCAAAGGGTTTTACAATCATCAAATGAAAATCATAATTTGACTTTTCAACAGTCAGTTGCTCTTGCATTTTTTTCAAGTTCAGTTATTGTTGAGCTTACTCCAGTTATCTCTGTTTGCCAAGTACAGACGGCAACATTTAAAGCCACAGCATATAGAAAAATAGATTTGAAGCTTAGCCAGGGCCACTTTGGATATTTCCAGAAAAAATAAATACAAACTTTATTTTAGTTGATGGAGTAGGGGAGGGCTGCATAAAAGATAAGTAAATGCATTTTCATGACAACCCTAATAGACTGGCACAGAAGCAGTCTGTTGGATTTCAGAAGTTAGAGATGCAACTATTTCTTTTCCTTTTACCTCCCATCCTTTCTTTTAAAAAGGAAAAGAAAAATGAAGGAGGAATAAATTTTCTTAGAGTTCAAAAGAATGAGCATCTAGAAAAATTAATGTAACTTGAAGTTCCCCCTAGGAATCACTTTGAGGCCAGAGTGACAGTTTTGACAAAGTTGGCTGCAATTAAAATGTTCTCGGTCCAGTTAGGAGCTTTTTAAGACTGGGCACATTTGTCTACACTACCTTCATTTTCATTTAAGGTTTTTGAGAAAGAACAGAAGAGCAGACAAACAAACTCAGAGCACCTTCCCAATTTTTGGATAGAATTTCACTTAATGCAACTGTGGCGCCAGTACTATAGATAGGATGGTACAGTTCAAAATATGTTTATATAACGTGGCTGCATGCCTCTGAGATCTTTTAAATTCTTTCCTGAGAGCTTCAGTCACTCAATGTTCACTCATCCAAAACCCTTTATATTCTCAAATATCTCAGTTAGTTTCACTGTAAAAGCCAAACATTGACTAGAGGGAGAAAATGAAATAGATGCAGATATTTCAAAGTTCTTATTTTTCACTTGACTCTTGAAGACTAAAGTGGAGAGATGTTTAACACAATAGTTGTGACATTACAAAATATATACCTTTTGAGCTTACTCTATTACATAAAACTATGGAGTTTGATTAGTGCCCTGGAAATCATAATTTTAAAAATATTTACCATTAGGAAAGACTTTGACCTCATCTGTATTTTGCCGTTGAAGAAATGAAGACTCATAGCTCTCAGGTTATTTAATTTATCCACAATCAGGTAGAACAAAAATCCAGTCATTGTTATTTCAAGTTCAATGCTCTTTGCATACATAATGCTATCTCTCTGTTTAGTAGAAGTTCAAATCTGGCCCAGAGTCATAAGTATGAACATTTCTTGTCATCTAGCTGTTCAACAAGCAATGTAAATGAGTTATGTTCTTTGTAGGTATTGATTTCATCCTGGAAATCATTCAATTGATAACAATTAGCAGTCTTAGATGAGTGGATGGGTATCATCGAGTGAGGATTGAAGCTAATTAATGAGGAATTCTGGGAAGCCGTGTTCTTCCTTTCCTGTTGGATGGTTAGACATTAAACCTTGGAGTTGTCAAATGAGCAACACCTTTGCATCAGTATTAAATTCACACACGAAGAAAATTAATTACAGGAAAGCTGCCTCAAACCCGCTTTGTCAACTCTCTCGACAGGAAATTCTCACTTAGGCAGGAAAAGTCAAGTACCGCTACCGCTATCTTAAAATATTCTTGTTTTTATAAGCCCGTTCTCATTTTTTATTTTCTTCTAAAAAAGAAATTATGGTGTAGATACTTTTTTTTTGGTTACAAAGAGGCAAACACAACTCTCTGAAAGAATAAGGTTTAGTGAAATAACAAATCAGACTTTAATTCCTATTAGATTGTCACTATGTAGTATCCCCACTACGAATGGTAAAAATTCAAATGTTCTATTCAGCACTGAGCTCATACATAAATGCTGGACCCTAGAAAGGGTCATATGTTTTGTACTTTACAAATTGGCTAGCAAGGTCGCACCTACACAATTGAGGATGGGGAAACAAAATAATTAGTTGAAGTCATTCTGGTTTATCTGAGGTTATTTGGAAACTCCAATTATAGCATAGTTTCATTTAAATCTTCATTTTCAGATAAGTGCCTTGAATGATATCATTCTTAAACTCTAGTGATTTGAAAGAAGTTCTCTGTGTTGAGTGAATATAGATTGTGAGAGTTGGCTAAAATATCTTGGATTTAGGACTGTTGATAACCTTGGAAAGGATATCTATGGCAGTAATTTCCAAGTTCCTTGCTTGGAATCCTTATGATTTTCTGAGAATAATGTCTCCAGGAAGCTCCTCTGTGAGTACTCAATAGTGCGTTCTGTGTTACACTGCTTACCTAACTTGCCAAAGTTGGTAGTCTTTTGTTCCTTCCCTACTCTTGAGAATTTTAAAGCATTTATTATTGTTCCTTTAGGATACTGAGTGAAATGGGATGTCATTATATAATACTCTCACAGTTCAAACCCCTCCCCCACCACTAACCACACATAGACTTGACTGAGTATAAATTACATGTCTATTAATAGTTGAAAGCTGTTTCAGACAGCAAACTCTGTTTTTGGCCTGAGATTAATGGTGTTAAGTAGGTAAATCAGACTAAGTTTTCAACTGTTTATCTCCATAAAACCCATTTAGTTCTTGGAAGAAGCTCTTGCATAAATCTACAATACTACCTAATAATGATGTTGATAATGGAAAGACTAGAAAGATTATAATAAATAGAGGAAGACAGATGTGCATTTCTAATATTTGTAGGGTAAATTCTAAGGTCATACATTACTTTGTGTTACCACACACAACATAATAGTTAAGAGATAGTGTATAACTCATACAACAATTAGTTTGTTAATTTTGCAAAGTAATAATATCTATAACATTCAAAGTTAAAAACTGGTCAAGAAAGGTATTTTGCATATACTTTTTTTTTGCTGAGCATATATCACTCAGTTGGAAAAGTAACTAACACATTTTCTCTTATCATTCAGCAACAATTTACTTCACTAAACATTTATTAAGTTCAAAATTTATGTAAATGTGATGAATGGGGTATAAAATGAGCATCAGGGGAGGTCAGGCCAAATGCAAGAAGATAATTAGGAAGGTTTGAAAGCGTGTGATGAATTCCATTTTTCAGAACATGATTCTCTGAAAGGTAGAGAAATACCTGTCATTGTCAAACGTATAAAAATGAAAGGTAAATATATAAAACATCTTTTTTAATATTGAGAACGAGAAAGAAAGGAGTAAAAAAAAAGATCAAAAGAGAAAGTTCAATTCTCCAAAGGTAAGGTAGTGTTGGCATTGGCTTTGGCCTTGAAAGGTGTGCACGCTTCTGGTGGGCTAAGGGCTGAGTGTCAATGGGTTGTGTGTGGAGGACAGGAGAAAGAGCTAGTGTCCCTTGGCAGAGTGAGTTCAAATCAAAGACCTCTCCACTAATTAAGGATCTTCAATGTGTGACCAGCTCAGAGAGTAAGCAAGAGAAGAACTACAAGTATCAACCTTTGCCTTGACAAGAGTAGAAAAATTTCCTGACTATAAAACCCACACTTAGAGCTGTAGATGGAATTCAGCTATTTGTGTGACACAAAAAATACTAAGCTGAAAATTTAATTTATAATCATGCTAGGTTGGAAGCATCTAAAAGATCCTGGAAGAAGCAAACACAAAGAATCTCTAGTGAAATATATTTTAAACTAGGCTTCAAATTACTCTTGCTGATAAAATTCTAAGGAAATTAGCTCCCAATTGAGAAATTAATAAGTAATGAGAAAAGGTTTTATGAGTATCATAGGAATAATAATCTTAGCTATCAGATCTGTAAATTATAGAATATAGAAATAATATATATAAAATATATAAAATAATTTTGTTTAGATTTTTAAAGAATTAAAGTTTGAAAATATCATGAACAAAAATAAACATTTTAAGCAGATTTGGAAAAGTATCAAATTGAACATCTGGCTATGAAAAATACAATAAATAAAATTTTAAAAATTAATGGATGGATGTCCACTTCCTAGAATGTGGAAGAATAGGTTATTTGGACCTCTCCTGCCACTGAAAATAATTGAAAATGCCGATAAGAACTTTTTAAAATATCTTAAAGTGCAAATACTGAGAAATTACCAGGTAAAAATCTAGGGAAATCCAGAGATGTAAACAAAGCAGTCAAGCTGCCACAGCCTTCAGATCTTTTGATAATCTTAGATGGACCTTAGAGACAAAGAGTGAATAAGTTAAAACCCAGAACTAGTAGAGTATTCTTTTCATTTTGAGCTGGAAACCTATATAGCTACAAATTTAGAGAAAGGATGAATCAGAAATAAACCTTTCCTGCCCCAGCCTCAAACAGTCACAAGGAAAGTTGGTTTCGCACTGAACATTAAAGAAGAAAAAGAAAAGTTTTCTAACCCCTGTGTGCATTTTTAGTTCAGATTTGCATCACCCGAGTGGTCCAAAAATTTACCAATTTGGAATTTAGTTTAAACTATTTCCTGACTGAAGGTCCCTAGGTGCCTAACCAAAGAAATTGTAGGATTAAGAAGAAGGCGTTCACTTTCTTTGGAAGAAAGCATTAGTTTTCATCACAGGTATCATAGAAACCCCACAAATAATTTTTCAAGGACAATGAGACCATATAGTTAAAAAAATAATAAATACACAAGGAAACAAGGAATGATGGCAATGAACCATCAGAAGAAAAGGACAAAACAAAACAGAGAACCAAAATAAGCCTGTAAAGATGTAAAATATTAGAAACATCTAACAAGAAATGTAAAGCAATTATGCTTACTGTGTTAGTCACGGTTCTTTAGGGAAACAGAAACAACTGGAGAGATATATCTATAAACAACTTTATTATAGGGCATTGGTTCATACAATTATGGAGGCTGAGAAGTACCATAATCTGCCATCTGCAAGCTGGATGCTCAGGGAAGCCAACTGAATAGTTCAAAGGTCTGAGTGGCAAAGAGCTGAGGGTATAGATTCCAGTCTCAGTCTGAAGGCTTCAGAAGCAGGAGTGCAAAAGGGAAGAGAAAATTGATGTTTCTGCTCAAGTCATCAGGTACAGTTAATTCAACCTTCCTCCACCTTTCCATTGTATTCAGGCTCTCAGTGGATTGGATGATGCCTATGCATATTAGGGGGATCTATTCACCCTGTCCTCCAATTTACATGCTAATCTCTTTCAGAAAAACTCTCAGAGACACAGTCAGAAATTACATTTAATCAGGTATCTGGGCATCCTTGGCCCAGTCAAATTGAGACAAAATTAATAACCACATTATACTATGTTTAAAATACTCTAAGACAACACTGAAAATATCCATATGTAACAAGAAACTATAATGTGACCTAGTATATTTGAAAAAAAAACAATCAAAGAGATTTTCTAGGAGTGAAAACTTAACAGCTGAGATTAAAAATTTGATGAATGGGATTAGTGCAATATTAAATACAGCCAAAGGTAAAATTAATAAATATGAATATATGTAAAAATACATTGCTTAGATATAACATGTAGAGACAAAAATATTGAAAGAGAAACCATGATGAAAAATTATGAGATTTAAAGGGTAAAAAAAAAAGTTTTACAATATATTCAATTAGAGTCCTAGAAGGAGAGCAGAGAGAGGCTAAGGAAGATGATTATTTTCAAAGATAGTTGCTAAGAATTCTTTATAAATGATAAGAGAAACCAGTCACAGATTAAAAGAGCTAAATCTCAATACATACATGCATGCATCCATACATATATATATGCCCAGTTACATAAATAAAGATATATATGATAAATACAGAATATTGAATGATTAAAAGAGATTGTTGCCTAGAGGAGTATAGAGAAACTGCATGCAGGAATGTGGATAGGAAAGGGAATGCCTTCAAGGACTGGCAATCAGAGGAGTAGCTTACTTTTTACTAGCAATATTAAAGCCAAAAGATAGTGGAAGGTATCCTCAAAGTCCTGAAAAAAAAATTCTTAGATTTCTATACCCAGCTAAACTATCTTTCAATAATAAGGGTGAAATAAAGTCAAGAGGGAAAGTGGCAGCTGCCAGGCCCCATACAATCTGGGTTTGAGATTGCACAGTACTACTTCTGCTTCATGCTATTGATTAAAGCAAGTCACAAGGCCAGCACAGATTCTAGCAGATGGAAAACTGACCCCATTGCTTGATGCATATAGAAACACTTGAAAACAGGTAAGGACACATTTGGTGATGGCTGTCTTCAGAGGGCATCTATCACAACATAAAGAGCTCCTCTGGATATTATGGCAAGGACAAATAACAAGAAAACTTGAGCAAAAACATGAATAAGGCTGGGCACAGTGGCTCATGCCTGTAATCCTAGCATTTTGGGAGGCTGAGGTGGGCAGATCATGAGATCAGGAGATCAAGACCATCCTGTCTAACACGGTGAAACCCCATCTATATTAAAAATACAAAAAAATTAGCTGGGCATGGTGGTGGGCACCTGTAGTCCCAGCTACTCAGGAAACTGAGGCAGGAGAATGGCATGAACCTGGAGGCAGAGCTTGCAGTGAGCCAAGATCGTGCCACTGCACTCCAGCCTGGGTGACAGAGTGAGGATCCATCTCCAAAAAAAAAAAAGAATATAAAAACCTGAACATCAACAAAATGTCAATTAACAGTAGAGTAGTTAAGCATTGTTTGTATTCTCTAAGTGAAATACTTTATAGTAGTGAAAATAACCTAAAGCTATACTCAGTAACATGAATGAATTTAAAATACAATTTTGAGCAGGTATAAAAGAATTCAAATTTTTATGTGTCATTTATTTGTAGTTTAAAACAACCTAATTAACATACTGGTTATTTGTGTGTAAATATATGGCAAAACTATGAAAAAAGCAAGAGAATGACAATCCCAAATTGCAGAAAAATTCAGGAAAGAGAGCGAAATATGAATGTTCTGTTTCTTAATTTGTGTTGTAAGCACATAAATGTTTATTTCTTCCTTTCTTCTTCCCTTCCTCTTCATCTTTGTCTTCAAAATTGCTTGTGTCACCCTTTTGTATATGTCACATATTTCACAATAAAGGGAAAAGTTTAAAGTATGAAACAATCAAGTTTTGGGTGAATGTGGAGAAACAGACATTCATGTTTCTGGTGAGAGTAGAAGTTGGTATGATCACATTTCAAAACAACTTGTCAATATTTGATATGTTTGACCCTGCAAATTGTCTCTGATCCTGAAATTTAGTAGAGAATCTCTCAGTCAGCTGCAAATGGAGATATACTCAATGGCGTTTATTGCAGCATTGACTATAATATAATACTAAAATTACAATTTAATGGGAAAGGGATCGAAAAATTGGTATAGCCATACAACTGTGCACATAGTTAAAATTACTAAACGTGAGTTTATATATCCATATAGATAAGCCTAGGAAAACAAAATTTAAGCAAAAAACTTCAGAGTGACATGGAGTATATGCTATCCATTAAGCAATTTTTAAAACATGTTAAACAGTTTTATATAATGCTTACAGATAAATACGAAATAAATATGTGAAAGAATACACACCATCTTCAGAGTAATAGCTCTTTGAAAACCTTTGCCTCAAGTTATTTTCTCAGAATTACCCAGAATTTTAATTTTAATGTCTGTGGTCTTTAAACTTGATTGCTGGGAAATCGGGAGCTGAAACACCATGAGGATAGAGGGAACTGAGGAATGGGGAGAAGCATTAATAGAATGTGGGACGTGGTTTGGAAAGGGAAGCAAAGAGGCATGTCTTCCTTCCAGAACTGTCTTTGTCATACCTCATGCAGAAAGATGGAAGAGTAAGAGGAAAAGAAGAGGAAATCTGTGTGATGACTCTATCTCTAGTCTTTGACAAAGTTACTATATTTTTGTATAATGTTTCATTCCTTCCAAAGCACTTTGACATATGATTTGCTATGTACAAAGAAGGTAGGGCAGGAAGTATTTTTCTAGTAGTAGTTTCAGGAGCCTGAGGACCCCCCAAAACTAAATGTCTTACTTAAAGTGCTAGTGGTAAATGTTTCAGGGTGGAATTCTTTTCTGTTTTAGAATTGCAGTCTTTTTCATTTGACAGCCCTCTCCTTGCACCCCTATGTTGGTCTGTCTTCCACTGCAAAGAGAATGTCACAAATGTGTTTATCTAACACAGCTTATTTTTATGTTCAGGAAAACTTTGAATATAAAGAAAAGAATAGGGTCATGCATTCTATTGATATTGGAACCCAGCAAAGGAAGTTCATAAATCAAATTGGCAGTAAATCTTCAGTGGCATATAAACTTGGGAATGAAGTGTAGCTTACTTTACTGAGATGATGATATCTACAAAGCATGCTGCAGAGTGGTGTGGGCAACAGTATGGCACACTGGTAAACTGACAGATTAAAAAAAGAAGTGGTCAGATCCTCATTATCCTAGGCAAAGCCCACTCTGCACACCCTTGCTTGGATCCTAGGTGTCCTGGGAAAATAAGCTTCTCTTCCTTAAAATGTAATCCCTGTGAACTCTCTTCCAGAGGTCAAGCACCTGGCCTCATGCGGTTGAAGTTTTATATTATAATTAATATAAATGTATATTAATTTAGTAAATAATCATTTAATAAAAACTCTACTGGTACATAAGGTCATGGGAAAACAGTCTTTGAGAACTACACTGAGTTAAAGGCTAGTCTGGGAAGTGCACAGTTTACACAGGGTGTTGACTTTGGGAGATAACATGTTCCTTACTCAGTTATATGGTTGAAAATGCCAAAGAGTCTGTTTTTATAGCAGGCTTTATTGAACAGATTGTAGTATAATTAGAGAAGTAGATGATGCTCACCCCAATTTCAGCAATCTTAAAAAAATTCTAGCTGTATACATTGTTATCATGTCCACCTATTAAGGAATCTTTCAACGACTGAGGGCAGGAATGGGAAAATGGATGACCAGGGTAAGAAAATGATTCAGGGAAGACTGGGAATTTCAATTGGTCTAAAAGGAGCAACATAGCTTTCCAATTAAGAGCTAAATTGTACTATTCAATATAGAATTGGATTGAGACATCAGCTCATCTTTAGATATGTTATGTGATGTTTCACGACTTTATCTTCTTAATTAATTTGTGTACAATATAATTAACATAATGTTCATATGATCCATCTATACAAGGTAATATACATTGTAATATACATCTGTAATATAATTTATCTGTACAATGGGAAGAGTAAGAGTATTTACCTTAAAGAGCTGTTGCAAGAATGAAAAACTGTGATGCAGTTTGCCAAGTGTAAAGTGTCTGGTGCATAGAAAGTGTTAAATTATCATTAGCTATTCATTTCTGCAAATTGTGTTATTGTGAACCTGTTTTGTTTGTTTGTTTGTGAGACAGAGTCTCGCTGTGTCGCCCAGTCTGGAGTGCAGTGGTGCGATCTCGGCTCACTGCAAGCTCCGCCTCCCAAGTTGTGAACCTGTTGTTATCAGGGCACCCACTCAACTCATCACAAAGTGATTTCCTTCTTTCCTTCTCCATTTATGGGTTAAGCTGTAGAGAGAGGTTGCCTAGTTTTGTAAACAAACTCCATAAAGGGTGAGAGTAATTTCTTTATTTAAAAAAAAAACAACTTATATTGTAAGTTCAGGGGTACATGTGCAGGTTTGTTACATAGGTAAACTTATGTCATGGTGGTTGGTTGTACGGACTATTTCGTCCCCCAGGTATTAAGCCTAATATCTATTAGTTATCTTTCCTGATCCTCTCCCTCCTCCCACCTTCCACCCTCCAATAAGCCCCAGTGTTTGTTGTTCCCCTCTTTGTGTCCTTGTTTCCATGTATTTTCATCATTTAGCTCCCACTCATAAGTGAGAACATACAGTATTTGGTTTTCTGTTCCTGTGTTAGTTTGCTACCCAAAGGAATACAAATCATTCTACTATAAAGACGCATGCACATGTATGTTCATTGCAGCACTGTTCACAATAGCAAAGACATGGAATCAACATAAATGCCCACCAGTGATAGACTGGATAAAGAAAATGTGGTACATATGCACCATGGAATACTATGTGGAGTAAATTCAATCTTAACCAAGATTGTCAAACATTAGTGGATGTTGAAAATGGTATTTAGGAAGCACATACTCATTGTTTTAATTCTTCCCTTCACATGAGGGAATGTTTTATTGAACAAGTGAAGAGGGGCATGAATCAGTGGCAGCCCTGGAACTCTGAAGCACAATGCCTTTAAGTCTCAAGCTTATTTCCCCAATGCCTGACCACATCCTGACACTTTCACAGTACCACACCCTTAGCTCCCAAATGGAAATTTTCCATTATGAAGTATACATGCTGCTTAAAATCGAGGGCTCTTTTCTTGACAAACTCACATAATCTAATTGCATCTTGTTCGCCTCCAAGTTTGGGACTACGATTTCGACTTTTTCTCCCTTTAGTTTCTTTTTGTCATATATTCATCTCAGCACCTCCCCGGAATAGATCCTTGCGGTTCAGAAAACTTCATGAGAGCATTTAAAGAATCAGGAGTGTTGCTGTTTGAAGAAAAAAAATGCTGAATACATAAATAAGTATTAACTATGGTTGACTAGTCTGGCTAAGCCTTCAGAGAATCCTCTAGAGGTCTGAAAGATCCACTGAAAATGAATTTTGAGTGAGATGTTCTGGTTGTGCTGTGAATATGCTGTTTTGTTTTTGTTTTTTTTAATAAACCAAAGACTATTCTTTCAATATACATTGCTACTAAGGACTTTGAGCATGATCTGTGAAAACTGCTCTGAAGCAAAATTTGGGGAAGTTTGTTTTTCATGTTAGTCCTGTTAGGGGATCTATGTAAATTGAGGTCTATATAAATATCCATTGTTCATTGTCAGTATGTAGAAATATTATATATATATATATGAATATATATATATATTCATCTTGTATCCTTTGGTCTTGCTGAATTAGTTCATTAGCTCTAATAGTTTTTTCTTTTGATTGTGGATTTCCTAGGATTTTTTTCTGAATAAATCCAGCTTTATTTCTTCCTTCCAATCTGAATTCCTTTAATACTTCCCTTTTTCTTTCTCCCATTTTCTCTATCTCTCTGCCTTATTGCAATGGATAAACGATCACATCCAGTACAATGTTGAATTGATGTGGCATGAGCAGATATTCTTGCCTTGTTTATAATTGTAGGATAAAAGCACTGTGTTCAACATTTTGGTGGTTAATTTAATGTGTCAATTTGGCTAGGCTACTGCATTCAATTGTTTGGTAATAAACCACTTTAGATTTTGCAATGATGGCATTTTGTACAAGGGATTAACATTTGCAATCAGTAAACTTTTAATCAAGCTTGTCCAATCCACGGCCTGTGGGCCGCATGTGACCCTAGATGGCTTTGAATGTGGCGCAACACAAATTTGTAAACTTTCTTAAAATGTTATGAGATTTTTTTTTGCATTTTTTCAGCTCATCAGCTGTCAGTGTTAGTGTATTTTATGTGTGGCCCAAGACAATTATTCTTCTTCCAATGTGGCCCAGGGAAGTCAAAAGATTGGACACCCCTCCTTTAAATGAAGAATACCTTCTATTATGTGGGTAGAACTAACCGAATCCATTGAAGGCCTTAAGAGCAAAAACTAAGCTTACACAAAGAACAATGAATTCTGCCTCAAAACTGTACTGTGGAAATCCTGCCTGAGTTTCCAGGCTGCTGGATTGCCCTATAGATTTTCACTTGTCAGTCCTCACAATTGTATGAGCCAGTTCCAATTGATCATTCAATCTCCTGTTGGTTCTGTTTAACTGAAAAACCCTGATTATGCAATTATTAAATGTGATGTTAGTTGTAGGTTTTTCATAGATTCCTTTTAGGAGATTGAAGAAGTTCCTTTCAATATCTCTCTCTTTTTTTTTAGAGGTTTTTGTTTGTTTTGTGAGTTGGTGTTGGAGTGTGTTAAATAAATTTCTGTGTCTGTTGAGATTATCCTATGGTTTTTGTTCTTCATGCTATTAACGTTGTATTTACACTAATTGGTTTTTTGCATGTTAAACCAATCTTACATTCCTGGGATAAATCCCATTTGACCACAGAATATAGTGCTTTATACGTGTTGCTAGCTTTAGTTTGCTAATATTTTGTTAATGGTAATTTTACATCTATATTCATGAGGGATATTGTTCCATAGTTTTCTTTTCCTCTGTTGTCTTTAGCTGGCTTTAGAGTTGGAAGTGTTCCATCACCTTTTATTTTTCTGAAAGAGTTTCTGAAGTATTGATATTGTTCTCTGAGTTGGTAGAATTCACAAATGAAGTCATCTGGTCCTGAACTTTTCTTTGTGGGGAGATTTTTAATCACTAATTTAATTTCTTCATTTTGTATAGGTCTATTCAGATTGCTATTTCCTCTTGAGTCAGTTTCGTTCATTTGTATCTTTCTAGGAATGTATTCATTTTACCTAATGATACATTCATTGGTATATGGTTATTTATAGTATTACATTATAATCCTTGTAATTTCTGTAATATCAGTCATGATATCTTCTTTGCTTCTTGATTTTGGTCATTCGAGTCTTTTCCCGTTTGTTTTTGGTCAGTTTAGCTAAATGTTTCTCAGTTGTTCTTCTCTATTTCTTTGATTTTTCTTTAATCTTCACTGTTTCCTTCCTCCCACTTACTAGATGTGGATATCTGGGATCCACTCCAGTCCTGTCTTGTGCATGTGCACTGATTTCCAGACCACAAGGAACCTGGGGAAGTTTATCAAGGCCTTTAACTTTTGTTTAATTTTTCAGCTTTCACCAATACATTTCTGGGTAGCCTGCCAATCTAATATTTTCCCCATCCAAGTCTACACCTCAGGTTTGCTGAGACATTGGACTTCTTCATTCATTTGACATCAAGTTCACTGTATTAGTCTGTTTCTACACTGTTACAAAGAGCTATCTGAGACTGGGGAACTTATGAAGAAAGAGGTTTAATTGATTCACAGTTTTGCATGGCTGTGGAGGCCTTAAGAAACTTACAGTCATGGTGGAAGGCGAAGGGGAAGCAAACACCTTCTTCACAAGGCAGGAAGAGAGAGAGAGGGAAGTGGTAACTGCCAAACACTTTAAAACCTTCAGATCTCATGAGAACTCACTCACTAGTATGGGGGAAACTGGCCCCATGAAAAGCCCCTGCCGCCACCCCAGTCACCTCCCACCAGTTCCCTTTCTCAACACACTGGGATTACAGTTGGAGATGAGATTTGGGTGGGGACAAAAAGCCAAACCACATCAGTTATCACCATCTCTGACAATACCCAGGGGCATTGAATTTGTTTCCATTTTCTCCAAATCAAGTCAGCCCCCACCAGTAGCAAAATTACTGGTTTTCATGACTTGACTTACTCTGGTAATAATTGTCACATTGACTAAACTGGAAGAGGGAAATAGGAACAGGCTTAGAGATTCTCACTAGTTTTGCCGAGGGTTCAGCAGTTTTTCTTGAGTAAACACTTCTCAATTCACTGTAGTATGCCTCTGGTTAATTTTCTGAGGTCTGAAATAGTTCTTTCTGGCAATTTTGTCTAGTTGTGTAATGGATTTTTGAAGGGAGACTTTACTGAGGCCTCACTTTTAAAGTCAAGATTGCTGTCTTAAGCCACTAGGTTTTGGAGTAATTTGGTGCACAGCAATAAATATCTGGAATGGCACACTCTTTCTATGTGCTTAGTATACCAAAGTGAACATGTAAAATTCCTGTTCTCAGGACAAAGCAAACACAGTAAAAACAATGAAGTCAGAGGAGCATAAAATAAAGCTAACGCTATTAACAATATAATCTTCTGTTTCCTAGGTAAGAAAATCACAGTACAAAGGCAATGCCACTTGTGTATTAGCATTGCCATTAAAACACACCTGCATTAGTCTATGTACAAGATTCTAGACATAGGTTCACGGACTCCACTGTATCCTCCAAAATGTTGTCATTCCCAAGCACTAATGTGTTGAAATATACTTTATAATAAAAATCATTTTTCTTTATTTTACTTTAATGTTATAGATAACTTGTTATATAGATACTTAACAACTGGCTATGTGGCTACATGACTTTATATATAAATTTTATTTAATATAATAAAAAAAGAATTATAAGACATTTCTTCTAAAAGGGAGTATTGAGACAGCATTGAGAATCCCTAGACTAGATAATTTCTTTTTTTTTTTTTTCTTTTTGAGATGGAGTCTTGCTCTGTCACCAGGCTGGAGTGCAGTGGTGTGATCTCGGCTCACTGTGACCTCTGCTTCCCAGGTTCAAGTGATTCTCCTGCCTCAGCCTCCTGAGTAGCTGGGACTACAGGCACGTGCCACCATGCCCAGCTAATTGTTGTATTTTTAGTAGAGACGGAGTTTCACCATGTTGACCAGGATGGTCTTGATCTCCTGACCTCGTGATCCATCCACCTCTGCCTCCCAAAGTGCTGGGATTACAGGCATGAGCCGCCGCACCCAGCCTAGACTAGACAATTTCTAATAAACCTTCCCATGTTAAGATAATATTAAATTTGCTTAGATATGCTAAACTAATTTTCTTCGATGTTTGACAACTTTAACCCTGTAGTTTAATAGGAACCTTCAAGGAACGTGTTTTAGGCTCTGGCTGGTAGCTATAACCTCTTTCCTGTTTTAAGTCTTTTTTTTTTTTCTTTTTTTTTTTTTTATTATACTTTAAGTTTTAGGGTACATGTGCACATTGTGCAGGTTAGTTACATATGTATACATGTGCCATGCTGGTGCGCTGCACCCACTAACTCGTCATCTAGCATTAGGTATATCTCCCAATGCTATCCTTCCCCCCTCCCCCCACCCCACCACAGTCCCCAGAGTACGATATTCCCCTTCCTGTGTCCATGTGATCTCATTGTTCAATTCCCACCTATGAGTGAGAATATGCGGTGTTTGGTTTTTTGTTATCTGTTTTAAGTCTTGATCAGTTTCTATGTTGACCTCCAAAATAACCTAGAGATAAAAGTAGTGACACTAATTGTTTAAGCAGCTTCAGGAGGCTTAATAAAACTTCATCATTTATAATTCATCTCATGCCTAAACACAAATTAAGGAATAGTGATGACTGCTGAAGAATGTCAACATTGTTTTCTCTGAGTACTTGAAATGCCCCAAAGTTTGGAGCTTTGTTATTTGCCTATTTGGACTAATTTATTTAATCATATCATTAAAGGCATTCATTCTTACTTAATTGAGCAAAGGTCTTGTTTTAAAAAATATATTCTGGCCAGGCGCAGTGGCTCAAGCCTGTAATTTCAGCATTTTGGGAGACAAAGAAGGGTGGATCACCTGAGGTCAGGAGTTCAAGACAAACCTGGCCAACATGGTGAAACCCCATCTCTACTAAAAATGCAAAAAATTAGCAGGGCATGGTGGCGGGCACCTGTAATCCCAGCTACTCAGGAGGCTGAGGCTGGAGAATTGCTTGAACCTGGGAGGTGGAGGTTACAGTGAGCCGAGATTGTGCCATTGTACTCCAGCCTGGGTGATAAGGGTGAAACTCCATCTCAAAAAATAAATAAATAAATACCTATAAATAAATAAATAATAAAAATATATCCTTAATGTATGCAAGGCACTACCCTAGAAACTGTGTTCCAGTGTGTAAGACATGTGCATTAGACAGGTCTGTGGCCTCGAATAGGACTCCACTCAGATTGTTCAACCACAGAGACTTGAAGGAAGGACTATTTACAAAGGTGAGCAAGTTCAAGAGAAGACATCGCAGCCCCTAGGATTAGTAACAAAGGAAAGCATTACTATTAGGCAACAAGGCTTGAAGAGGAAACATGGCTTGAAGCTATTGCTCTGGCAATAGCTACCAGAGCTCTTTGTAAGATGGACCTGTGGAGGATGGGCCCCTCTGCAAGAGCTATAGTTGCCAGGACCAAGGCCCAAGGAAATTCCTCTCCTCACTTAATTCCTGTTTGTGCCTCCACTTGGGCAACC